>NC_000023.11:147202878-147505909 GCF_000001405.40 Homo sapiens | reverse complement strand
GAGCAGTTAGTACCATCTGATCTATTTGGTTATGCAAGTAAGAAAACTGGGATTCATCCTTGACCTCTTCCTTGTCTCTGTGATCTTATTTTTTAATTAATTATTTTTATTATTATTTTGAGACAGAGTCTCACTATGTTACCCAGGCTGGAGTGCAGTGGCATGATCTTGGCTCATTATAACCTCCACCTCCCCAGTTCAAGCAATTCTCCTGCCTCAGCCTCCTGAGTAGCTGGGACTACAGGCACATGCCACCATGCCAGGCTAATTTTTGTATATTTGTAGAGATGGGGTTTTGGCATGTTGGCCAGGCTGGTCTCGAACTCCTGACCTCAAGTGATGCACGCACTTAGGCCTCCCAAAGTGCTAGGATTACAGGCATGAGCCGCTGCACCCAGCCCTCTGTGATCTATAATCAGTAAAGTATCAAGGTTTGCTGACTTTGCATTCCAAATATCTCTAAAAATTATCTGACTGATACTGCCTCATTTCATGCCATCAATATCTTTAACCTTACAATAACTACCTTCTGCCTTGTTTCCTTGTTTGTAGAAAAACTGTCGTGGGAAGTTTGGGTCCTGAACTCAGATCTTCATCAAAATTGATAGACTAGTTGGGGAACTTACTTTTAAAACATATTTTTAGTTCACGCAATTGTTGTACATATTTATAGGGTACAAAGTGATATTCCCATACATGTAAACAATGTGTAATGATCAAATCAGTGTAATTAGCATATTCATCACCTCAAACAATTATTTATTTCTTCATGCTGAAAACATTCAAAATCCTCTCATCTAGCTATTAAAAATATACAATTAATTATTATTAACTATGGTCACCCTCTAGTGCTGTAGAACACTGTAACTTATTCATTCCATCTAACTCTATTTTTTATCTTTTAACCAACCTTTCCTTATACCTGTTGTATTAGCCTGTTTTAATGCTGCTGATAAAGACATACCAGAGGCTGGACAATTTACAAAAGAAAGAGGTTTAATGGACTTACAGTTCCACGTGGTTGGGAGGCCTCAGGATCATGGCAGAAGGCAAGGAGAAGCAAGTCACATTTTACATGGATGGCAGCAGACAGAGAGAGCTTATGCAGGGGAACTCCTTTTTATAAAACCATCAGATCTTGTGATACTTATTCACTATCTGAGAACAGCACAGGAAAGATTTGCCCCCATGATTCAATTACCTCCCACAACTCGTGGGAATTCAAGATGAGATTTGGGTGGGGACACAGCCAAACCGTTTCATCTGCCTCCTCCCTACCTTTCCCATTCTGTAGTATCCATTATTGTATTCTCTACAAGCATACTTCAGAGATATTGCAGGTTTTGTTCCAGACCACTGCAATAAAGTGCGTCACTCAAACTTTTTGGTTTTCCAGTAAATGTGAAAGTTATATTTATACTATACTGTAGTCTATTAAGTGTGCAATAACATTTCTAAGAAGTGTACTTTATTGCTATAAAATGGTAATAATAATCTAAGCTCTCAGCGAGTTGTAATATTTTGGCTGATGGAGGGTCTTGCCTTGATATTGGTGGCTAATGACTGATTGGTGTAGCAGTTGATGAAGGTTGGGGTGGCTGTGGCAATTTCTTAAAATAAGACAACAATGAAGTTTGTCACATTGACGGACTCTTTCTTTCATAAAAGATTTCTCCATAGAATGCAATGGTGTTTGATAGCATTTTACCTACAGTAGAACATTTTTTCAAAATTAGAGTCAATCCTCTCAAACCCTGCCACTGCTTTATCAACTCAGTTAATGGAATATTCTAAATCCTTTTTTTTTTTTTTTTGCCATTACAACAATCTTTACAGAATCCTCAAAAGGAACAGATTTCATTTCAAGAAACCAACTTCTTTGCTCATCCATAGAAGCAACACACTATCCATTCAAGTTTTATCATGAAACTACAGCAATTCAGTCACATCCTCAGGCTCCACTTCTAATTCTAGTTCTCTTGATATTTCCACCACATCTGCAATTACTTCCTCCATGGAAGTCTTGACTCTCCCAAAGTCATTCCCAAGGATTGAAATCAACTTCTTTCCAATTCTGGTCAGTGTTGATATTTCGACCTCTTCCCATGAATCACAAGTGTTCTTAATGACATTGAGAATTGTGAATACTTTCCAGAAGATTTTCAATTTGTTTTGCTCAGATCCATTAAAGGAATTACTATCTATGGCAGCTAGAACCTTTTGAAACATGTTTTCTAAAGATGATTTGAAAGTCATAATTGCTCCTTGATCCACGGGCTGCAGAATAAATGTAATGTTAGCAGGCATGAAAACAACATTCATCCCCATCAGAACTCTTAAGTGACTAGATTCCTTGTCAATGAGCAGTAATATTTTGAAAGGAATCTTTTTTTTCTGAGGAGGAGGTCTTGACTATGGGCTTAAAATATTAAGTAAACCATGGTATAAACAGATATGCTGTTATCCAGGCTTCGCTATTTCATTTATAGGGCATAGTCAGGCTGTATTAGTCGGGATGTATTTAGCATAATTCTTAAGGACTCCAGGATTTTCAGAATGGTAAACGAGCATTGACTTCAACTTAAAATCACAAATGCATTAGCCCCTAACAAGAGAGTAAGTCTATCTTTTGAAACATTAATGCCAGTCATTGACTTCTCTTTAGCTATGAAAGTCCCAGATGGCATCTTCTTCCAATAGAAGGCTGTTTTGTCTCCATTGAGAATCTGTCGTATAATGTAGCCACCCTCATCAATTGCCTTAACTGTATCTTCTGAATAACTTGCTGCATTTTCTACATCAGCACATGCTGCTTCACCTTGCACTTTTCTTGTTTTCTTTTTGCGACTGAGTCTCTCTCTGTCACCAGGCTGGAGTGCAATAGCACGATCTCGGCTCACTGCAACCTCCGATTCCCTGGTTCAAGCGATTCTCCTGCCTCAGCCTCCGGACTAGCTGGGATTACAGGCACGTGCCACTACGCCCAGCTAACTTTTGTATTTTTAGTAGAGACAGGGTTTCACCATGTTGGCCAGAATAGTCTCGGTCTCCTGACTTTGTGATCCACCCGCCTTGGCCTCCCAAAGTGCTGGGATTACAGGCGTGAGCCACCGTGCCCGGCCCACCTTGCACTTTTATGTTATAAAGACAGCTTCTTTGTTTCAGCCTCAAGAACCAACCTTTGCTAGCTTTAAACTTTTCTTCTGCAGCTTTCTCATCTCTCTCATTCTTCATAGAATTGAAGAGAATTAGGGTCTTGCTCTGGAATAGGCTTCAGCTTAAGGGAATGTTATATCTGGTTAGGTCTATCCAGATCACTAAAGCTTGCCCCACATCAGCAATACGGCTGTTTTGCTTACTTATCATTCCTGTGTTCACTGGAGTAGCACTTTTAATTTTCTTCAAGAACTTTTCCTTTGCATTCAGAACTTGGTTGTTTGGTGCAAGTAGCCTAGTTTTCAGCCTATCCTGGCTTTTGACATGCTTTCCTCACTAAACTTAATTATTTCTACCTTTTGATTTAAAATGACAGGTATGTAACTCTTTATTTCACTTGAATACTTAGGCCATTGTAGGGTTATGAATTGGCCTAATTACAATGTTGCTGAATCTCAGAAAATAGGAACACTTGAGCAGAGAGAGATGAAGGACCAGCTGGTTAGTAGAGCAGTCAGAGCACACATAACATTTATTAAGTTCACCAACTTATATGGGCACAATTCATGGTGCCCCCAAACAATTACAATAGTGACATTAAAGATTCCTGATTATAGATCACCATAACAGATATAATAATAAAAATGTTTGAAATATTGTGAGAATTACCAAAATGTTACACAGAAACATGGAATGAGCACACGCTGATAGAAAAATGGTGCTGATAGACTTGGTCTATGCAGAGTTGCCACAAACCTTCAGTTTGTTAAAAAAAAAAAAAATCCACAAAATGCAATAAAGCAAAGATGAATAAAACAAGGTATTCCTGTATTTCTATGAGATCAGCTTGTTTGGCTTCCACATATGAGTGAGGAAACATGGTATTTATCTTTCTGGGCCTGTCTTATTTCACTTAACGTAATATCCTCTGGGCTCATCCACATTGCCACAAATTACGGAATTTCATTCTTTTTTAATTGCTGGATAGTATTCCATGGCATATATGCACCACATTTTCTTTATCCATTCACCCATTGATGTGTACTTAGATTGATTTTTGGTTATTGTGAATAGTGTTGCAATAAACATGGAGGTACAGGTATCTCTTTGAATTTCTGATTTTCTTTCCTTCAGGTAATATACTCAATAGTGAGATTGCTGGATTATATGGTAGTATCGTTTTTAGTTTTCTGAGGAAACTTCATACCATTTTTCATGACTGTAGGAATTTACATTCCCACAAAAAGTATATAAGAGTTCCCTTTTCTTCACTTTCTTGGCAGCATTTGTTATTTTTTGTCCATTTGATAATAGCCATTCTAACTGGGGTGAAATGATATCTTAATGTGGTTTTGATTTGCATTTTCCTGATATTTAGATATCTTGAGCATTTTCTTGTATTTTTTGGCCACTTATATATTTTCTTTTGAGAAATGTCTACTTGGGTCATTCACCTATTCGTAAATTGAATTATTATTATTATAATTATTATTTTGGTGTTGAGATGTTTGAGCTCTTTGTATATTCTGGATATTAATCCCCTTTTGAACTAATGTATTGCAAATATTTTCTCCCATTCTGCAGTTGTCTTTTCACTCTGTTGATTGTCTCTTTGGCTTTGCAGATGCTTTTTATTTTGATGTAATCCTGTTTGTCTATTTCTGCTTTTGTTCCCTGTGCTTCTGAGGTAATATCTGAAAATGTCATTGCCCAAAACAATGTCACGGAGCTTTTTTTCTGTTTTCTTCTAGGAGTTTCATAGTTTCATGTTTTAGATTTAAGTACTTAATCCATTTTAAGTTGATATTTGTATGTGTTGAGAGATAAGGGTATAGTTTCATTCTTCTGCATATGGATATTCAGTTTCCTCACCACCAATTATTGAAGAAGGTGTTATTTCTCTAATGTATGTTCTTGGCACCTTTTTTGAAAATCAAATCGCTGTAAGTATGTGGATTTGTCTCTGTATTCTCTGTTCTTTTCCATTGGTCTATATGTCTTTTTTTTTTTTTTAAACCACTGTCATGCTGTTTTTGCTTTTCTAGCTTTGTAGTGTATTTTGACGTGAGATAGTTTGATGACACCAGGTTTATTTTTTTCACTTATGATTGCACTGGCTATTAAAGATCTTTTGTGATTCCATAGAAATTTTAGAATTTTTTTTCTATTTCTGTGAAGAATGTCATTGGTATTTTGATAAGAATTGCACTGAGTGGGTAGATTGCTTTGTGTAATATGTCACTTTAACAATATCCTTTTAATCTGTGAACATGGGATGTCTTTCCATTTTTGTGTCTTCTTCAATTTATTTCATCAGTGTTTCATATTTAACTGTTCCTGTTTACTTATGACATGTTATATATATATAGAAACCTAAAGTCTCTCCCTGAAAATTTCTAGAACTGATAAATTCAACAAAGTTGCAGGAGAGGAAAATCAACGCAGAAAAATCAGTACTGTTGCAATATAGCAATTGCCAACTAGTTGATAAGACATCAAGAAAGCAATCTCGTTTGTAATAGATACAAAAAATCTAAAAATTTATAGGGATATGTTAAACCAAGGAGCTGAATGTTTTTAACAGTTGACACTTTTTAGTCTTGCATTTCATTTTCTAAATAGGCCAAGTAATGTACATTGAATAGTCTTTGCAAGCCAATGAATTTCTTGAGTGATTTTTGATTGCCTTTTAGTGCCTTTGTTCACTCTAATGAACAAAGTAATGAGGAAACTACCATAGATTATCTAATAGTAATATTTGGATTACTTGCTTCATTGTTGGAAATCTTTGGGCAAATGTGCTTGTTTAAGTAGTAAAGATTACTCCTATAATGGAAATAATATGATGGTACTAATTTTCTAGGTCCTGTAGTACATAAAGGTTATAATATTTTTCTTCTACATCTTCAGATGTAATCTCTTGGTTTGAAGAAGTTGGGGATTGGTAGAGGGAGAATAGAAGAAGACTTGAGAGAATGGTTTAGGAAATCCGCTGGATTGGATCTTAGAATCTCCATGCTTTTTTCAAGCTGTTTGTCCCTTCATGTGACAGTACCTAGAATACAGAGACACTCAATATTTGTTGAATAAATGAATTTGCCATCTATATAGTTGGCTATTCATGACCTCACTGGCCCAGAAATCTGGTAAATGACAAAATCATAAAGTCATAAAATACTGAAGATGGCAGAGGCTTTCAAGAACATTCAGTTCAGGAATTTTTACACTGTGGTCTATTGACTTCGTGGTTGACTAGGCAGAGGGGTCTGGGCCCTCAGGCCTTTACTTCAACCAGAGCAGAAATTCCCCAATTTATGTTATATACTTCGGTCTGTAGATTTGGAAGGAACACCTCATATTCTCACTCATAAGTGGGAGTTGAGCAATGAGAACACATGGACACAAGGTGGGGAACAACACACACCGGGGCCTGTTGGGGTAGGGGGCAAGGGGAGGGAGAGCATTAGGAAAAATACCTAATTCATGCAGGTCTTAAAACTTGGATGAGTGGTTGATAGGTGCAGCAAACCACCATGGCACATATATACCTATGTAACAAACCTGCACATTCTGCACATGTATCCAGGAACTTAAAGTTAAAAAAAAAAAGAAAAGGAATTTGTTCTAATTTTCCCAAAAGGGCTACATAAGAAAGCTGCAGCATTAGTCAAGGAAGATGTTTCTGAGGAGGTGGCATTTGAAACTTGACTTCAAAGATGAAAAGGAGTCCATGTGAGCATTTGCATTTGAAGTAGAAAGAATGGCAAGAATGTGTCTGGCGGTCTTTTAGCTGAGAGTGTGTATGGTGTGTTTGAGGAATAAGAAAACAGACTAGTGTGTCTAGAATAGAATACATGGAGTAGAGAGGAAGAAGAGATGAAGGTAGTGAAGTAATGAGGGCCAGAGTGGTAAAACATTCCAAGCCATTATAAATATTTTGGCTTTTCCTTTGAGTTGGATAAGATGTTATTGGAGAGTCATCATAGCTTTTCTGGTTGAAACACCTACCACCAGTAGTGTGCTGCTAACTGTTTCACAACTCACTATCTGGTTGCAGATTTCTATGATGTAAATACTCCCATTGTGGGCAATGTTACATTACTGAATGTGGAGTAGAGAGTAGACGTTAACAGTCGGCATTAGGTAGTGTGAGCAAGTTGCAGCAACTCATTTTGCAGATAGGATACCTGCAGAGATCAATAATGGTCAGATCAAGGAGGACCTAGTTTACCAGGCTAACAAGTCTCGTCTTCATCTTGTATGCATCAGGAAGCCACTGGTGGATTTTAAGCAGAGATAACATGGTTAAATTTGTGTTTTACAAAGTGTTAGATGTAAATTGAAGGTAGTAAATGTGTTATATTCATCTTATAAATTACAAAATGAGCATAGGGCTGTTAAATATCTTATTCTAGCAAGGGGATCTGAAGAGAAAAATTGGCAAAACCAAAACCCATGAGTTCGTGGCAAAATTAAAATTTGAACTCAGGGTATTCAAATACCACATTTGATAAAGCATCACTAAAAGGGAAATAGCTGAGGTATGCTTACTTCATCTGAGATTTTTAATAGAATAACAGTAAAAGAGCATATGGGAGGGCTGCATTGGCAACAAAAAAGTGTGTCTTGTCAATAGTCCAATACAAATGTCACTGTTGAAAATTGGTGACTCTAAAAAGCTGAAACATCTCCAAGAATTTTGAAACAGTAGAAAAGTTAGAATTAAAACAGAATTTACTAATCACACCTTTTTGTCTCCTTCCTAAAGGATAAACAAATGGCTGAAGATTGCTACTCATAATACAGATCCATTAATAAATTATTTAACTTCAACACTAAAATAGTCCTTAATTGTGTAAGTTTTAATAGTGTGTAATCAACCTGACAGAGAAAATAGAGGTAAACTTTAGTAATAAACCAATTATTTGAAATAAATCAAGGATAAAAGTCAGACCCTAGTCAACTTATTGAAATATTAGTATACTATTTCCAAATTATTTGACTACTTCTGTATTTAATTATGTTAACAGTGAAATACCAGCGTTCCAAGTTGTGTGCAGCTAAATGCTGACAATGGCTAGAGGAATGCTTTCATAAAATGTTGGTTTCTTCTCATGGGGAAAAATAGATGAGTTTAAAATTATATATGGTTGTTTTCGGTTGGCTGAAGCCAGTATCAAGAGGCATCTTAAACAAAGTGAAATTTGTCATTTCTCTTGGAATACAACCAAGGAGAACTAATTAGCAGGAAAAGTTTTCCCCTGCAGGCTGCAAAATTAGTCTTGAGGTCAAAATAAATGATAATGAGAAAGTTGGGTTATTAAGTCTAAGCACAGTTTCCAAAGGATAAATATAAAAGGTCATCAAACAGAATATTATCATAGAGAAGATTTCAAGCTTGCAGATTGAGATTTAGTTAATACAAGTTGCTGAATTTTTAGCAATTTGCATCATATACATTTCCTTCATCTCTACTGAATCATTAAATTAGAAAATATAAGCTCCCAAGACATTTTAATGTGAGTGTTGAATTCACAATGTTCTGGTGTCTTAATTTTTCAATAGCAAAGTGGGTTTAATTGTCAAGAAACCATATCCTGATTAAACAGAATTGGAGCACTTTGTATAATTTTTAACAGTGAGTAGGAAATTTATAATCCTTTTAACCTTCTACTTGTCTTTCATTCACAAACATTTATTGAACATTGTTTCAGTCCATTTTCTGTTGCTCTAACTGAATGCCAGGGACTGGGTAATTTATAAAGAAAGGAAAGTTATGTCTTATTGTTCTGGAGACATGGAAGTCCAAGATTGAGAGGCCAGCATCTGGTGAAGGCCTTCTTGCTACAGCATAACAGGGTAGAAGGCATCAAATGGTGAGAAGGCATCAAATGGTGAGCTGACAAATGTGTCAGCTCAGGTCTCTCTTTCTCTTCTTATAAAGCAACCAATCCCATCGTGGCATCCTCAACCTGATAACCTTACCTAATCCTAACTGCATTCTAAGGTCCTCATCTCCAAACAAAATCAATATATGAATTTAAGGATTAAATTTCTAACACATGAAATTTGGGGGACAGATTTAAGCCATAGAAACATCTATTTTGTGCAGGGGACTGTGATAGGTGCTGTGTTCAATGCAGCAATGAATCCATTAAGGATCCTAAATTCATTAAGGATGTAGCTTAGTAGGGGAAATATAACACATTGTTCAATTTGCATAACACAATAATAAATGTTACAAGTATCATGTGAGAAGTACAAATAAAATATTCTAGGGGGCCTGAGGAGGAAGATGTTACTTCTACTTGGGACAAAAGAGAAGGCTATTAGGTAAAGATAAGAAAACATGGAAAGGAGTGGGGGGAGGGCATTCCAGGTGGAAGAAAAGTTTGAACAAAGGCTTGAAGCTGGAAAGGTATAGAATGTGTATGAGCAGAATGTAATTCAGTGAGGCTGAACTCTGGGCTGTGTATCAAGAAGAGTAATGGTGAATGGGATAGAAATGTAGGTTTGTTAACTAATCCATTAATCAACAGCTATATAGCAGGTACCACCTATGTGCCAGGGACTGGTCTAGATAGTAGGGAAGGAATAATGGACGACACAGTCTGAAATCTTATGTAATGTTGAGAAATTCCTTAGATGTTAAATATGGAGTTTTGATAATCTATAGGCAGGAGAATCATCAAAAATATGACAGCTACATGATCATAACTATTCAGAAACAACATGTTATTAGTAGTAGCAACTTGAACTACTAGAAAACCTGTACTATTACCAGTTATCATTTGTAGAAATCAAAATAATCGGCATAACATCTGTGTATAAGTTCACATTGTAAAGAATTATTTTCACATCTATTATCTCATTTGTTCCTTCTGTCAACTCCATGAGGACAAGAATTATAATTTCCATTTTATATATGACTCTTAGAGACTAAGCGACTTGCTGATGGGCACATAGCTTTAAATAGCTGAGCCAGGTTTTGATCCTAACTTTGTTGGCACTTCAAATCCTCTGGTATTTTTCTACAATTTTCAGCCTCTATAGAATCAAAGACTTGAAAAACGATCTCCCTGTGCATATTTTTCCTACCTGATTATTACAACACTAGATGCAATGGAACACTAAAGAGATGATTGTGGCATAAATTTCAGAAAATCTTTTCAACTTTCAGTTTTGATTTAAATGAAAAATAATATGGAAGTTATATGAACATGTCTCAAAGCTGCATCTCAAATGCATTATAAATGCTGGTTCTTTGACTTCTGGGGGGTTATCTGTATAATGTTTTACAACATTTCTGGATTGCTCTGTGTGAGTCTGACAAAATCCATTGTTGGTATTCTTTTTTCTCATCCCAATGCTCCCCCGTGTTGATTTAGTAGATCTTTCATAAAGGTAATTTCTTTCAATGGCTACAGCAGCATTTGTCTTTCATGGACTGCTAGAGCAGCATTTCCCTCGAGAGGAGTGCTATTGATTATTTATTATAGTTTTATCCCAGTGTTGCTGAGGTAGTAAGAGACTACAAAGGGAGAATGAGGATTTAGATACCCATTTGCAAGGTTTGGGAGATAGCAGTAACATACTCATGAATTCTTCTTGCTGACACAACAGCCTCATTAAATAGCACTGAGACGTCTAGGCAATTGCATGCCAATTTCATCGAAGAGGTCGTTCAGCAACATACAGAGCAAACCATCTGTAACAAATATTATCAACTTGGTTCCCACCACAACTATGGGGAGCCACTCCACACCACTCAAATACATGACCTTGTTGAATTCTCATAACCATTTTATGAGAGAACTGGTATTACACTTCTGTAATGTAGATGTGTGACTCTTGGTAAACAGACCCTGTGCTTTTTTAGGAGGTGGTTTCTATATGTCCGGACATAACCCTACTCTCTGAAGCTTTCCGTTATTACACTCTTTCCACAACGTGAAGGGCTAGTATTGTGCTGGCCCTGTGCTAGGCATTTGGGATACAATAGAGCAGTGAAGAAGTGAGACAAGGGTCCTGCCCTGAGATATTTTTCTAATGAGGAGATAGAGACAATAAAACAAAGAATGTAATAATTTTCAATTGTTCTGTGTGCCATGAAGTGAAGAAAACAGAGTTCTGTGGTACAGAATATGAAGCAGGTGGTGAGTGTGTGATCAGGAAGGTTTCCCCCACGCCAACACCTCTCTACCTTTCACTTTCATTGTTCCATTCACTGTACTCTACTGGACCTGTTGGTTTCCTTGCCTTCTCTTCCTAATAGCCTGTAGACTTCTTGGCCAAATACATCCTGTTTTCTTTTGCTGAATCCACTGGTGCAGAGGAAGCACTTCAAAAATGTTTGTTCCACTAACTTGAGGAAACTTAGCTCTGGACAATTAAGTGACTTGCCTAAAGTCATACCTCTAGAAAAGGTATAGATCAGGGTTTGAACCTGGCCTTTCTGGTAGCAGGTGTAGTATTCTTTCCCCTATATTACAACTTCCTTTCTATGTCCTTTTCATGACCCCCTAGAGCCTACATAATATGCACCACTACCACCCTCATCCCCCACCTCTAACTTCATCTCCTACTCTCCATACCTCAGCTCCAGCCCACTGGCTTCCTTGCTGTTCCTTGAGCAGGCCAGGCATGCTCCCCACTCAGGATCTGACTCTACCTGTTTTCTCTGCCAGGAATGCCCTTTCCCCAGTGCTCTCTCCCACATAGCTCCTTGGTCAACTCCCTTGTCTCCTTCATGTCCTCTCTCATATATATATCATATTCTCAGTGAGAGCTACCCTGCCCTTCTTATTTAAAGCTCTAACCTCCCCCCTCGTTACTACTGATTCCCCTTAACCAGTCTGAATACCCACCTCCATGGCACTTATCATCTACATTACTAGGTAGCTGCCTTATTCCTTATGTATATTTATTGTTTATTGTCTTTCTTCCAAGCTAAATGAAGAGCATGATCTTGTTCTACTTTGTTTATCATTATATCTTAAGGTCCTAGAACATGGCCTGGGTCATAATAGTCACCCAATAACTATTAGTTGGATAAAATTTATGTTTAATCAGATATGCCTCATATATGATTGAAGAACAGTCTCTTGACATCAAAATTGAATGCAGGCAGCAAGGAAAGTTCATTCTGTATTACCACAGGATGCTTGGATGCTGTTCTTTTGATACCAACTATAGCATAGTGCTGGGACTTGAGTGGATAACAGAAAACATGACACATCCTTCAGGGTAAAACACTGTATCATTTATATTTGTTGGATGTCTTTGTACTTGATCATCAGGACAGAGGTCATGTCTTAGCCTACTTCTATGTACTCTGCTCCTAGCACTGTGCTAGGCACAATGGAAAGAGGTTTTCAGAAATGTTTGGTGAATGGTCTTATACATATCAGCAACTGGCCATTTGTTATGTTCTCTTTTAATACCTCCCAAGGTGTTTCCTCCAAAAGAATAGCAGTACATAGGGCTCCAACTGGCTCATGGGTTTGTTCTGGGCTACTTTCCACGAGACATGGGGAGATAATGGGAATGATGGAATCTTTATAAAATGATCCTTTCTATGCCTATTTTGCTATTCTATTTATCTGTGGAAGTCCTGCATCTGATAGCAAAGCAGCTACCAAGATAGACTCTCTCAAACTTGGCAAGCATAGCCATCTTCCTTAGCCAAATTGTATTTAGATAAATAGATCCTGACTTCTTAGCTGTTTGCTCATCATACTTCATTTGTTTCGCAGGGTGCTTTTAGAGGGCATCAAAATTTTATTTAAATGCTGCTGCAGCATAAACAATACTAAAAAATAAAATTTTGAAACATGAGGCATTTTCAAGTATGAGTTTTGGGTGGATATATTCTGAAATCTTCATTTACTTTTGAGAATTTGTCCTAGAACCAAGGGCTTTAAGGACATGGTCATTGAATTCAAATTAGGTACAACAGAATCTCATTGCTATGAAAGTTTAGAATCTGAAGCCCCATTTGCTCATTGTTATCACCCTGCCTAGTGTTGCCTCTCCTCACCTGCCATTTCCACACAACTACTTCATGGCAGCATACCTAACCATCTCACATAATTCCACAAAAGTGTAGTTCCCTTGCATGAGACTCATATCCATATAGAAGGCCTTATAAATACACAGCCATACTAAATCTCATTCCCAGATTCATAAATCTCAGATACATAACTATACAAGAGACTTCTCAGACACATGGCCATGCTACAGTATGATACATGTGTGAGTATAATAAACATACCCACACACCCACATATTCATGCTACACATACTGCAGCCCAGCCCAATTTTCCCCACACTCAAATACAAACTCAAATTCAAATACAAACTCACTAGTACTTGAATGTTTTCTCTTTGCTTTTTAGGAGTCTTATCCGTGGTAAAAGGTGCAAGCCATTTTTCAGATCAACAGTGGAGGAAATGATGGACATAAGAAAAATGAGTAGAGCATTTTAGAGAAATGCCAAAATAATATAAGAATAAATTATGTGTTTACTAGACTAATATCTACAGCATAATAATTACCATTAAAATACTCAGAATCTGAGCAGTTAAGCATTTACTTTGTTTACTACATGTATTTATGGGATAACAGTATTTGGTTTTTTAAAAAGGAATTTAATTTTTCTGAAGTAGTAATCAAAACTCTCTTCAGCGGCAAGTGTCTTTAAGGCATATGCCACATTTATATAGCAGTAAAGAAATAACAGTAACGATTATTCTCAGATCTACACAGAGATATAACTCTAGAGTTCTGTGGAGAGTCTTCCTTGAGTATTCAATGTAGTACTGATAAGCACTTGTGTGTGAAATTACCTGAGTCCAGGAAAAGAACCATCCAATGGCATGAGATATAATTGTTCCTGAACCTCAAGTGGGCTGTTAATAGTGCCTGTTCTCATCATCCAGACAAGAAAATCTTAAGATTCACAGGCCATTGGGTAGCATACTCAGAAGGGTTTTGCCTGAATAATGGGGAATGATTAGCCATAAACACTTCTCTTTTCCTGCTTACCAAATCTTAAGAAAGACCTGAAAAGATGAAACTGTTTCCAAGTAAATTAACGGCATCTGAGAACAATCTCAAAAATATTTATAGGAATACAAACATATCTAAAACCAAACAAGGTACAATTCACAATGACTGGCAACCAATAAAAACTTTTCAGGCATACAAAAAAGCGGGAAAGTATAACCTGTAATAAAGAGAGCTGATAGATGTTAGGATTAACAGAAAAGGGTATTAAAAGGGTTACTCTAACTGTACTGAATATGTGAAAAAATAAAGTAGTAACATGAGAAATATAAAACGGACCAAATTTGAACTAATAAAGATGAAAATGTCTGAAATAGAAAATAGACCAGATGGGATTAACAAAAAAATAGAGAGCACAGAAGAAAAGATTGATGAACTTGAAATTAGCAACATTGTGGAAGACAGTGCGGTGATTCCTCAAGGATCTAGAACCTAGAAATACCATTTGACCCAGTGATCCCATTACTGGGTATATACCCAAAGGATCATACATCATGCTGCTCTAAAGACACATGCATACATATGTTTATTGCAGCACTATTCACAATAGCAAAGACTTGGAACCAACCCAGATGCCCATCAATGATAGACTGGATTAAGAAAATGTGGCACATATACACCATGGAATACTATGCAGCCATAAAAAAGGATGAGTTCATGTCCTTTGCAGGGACATGGTTGAAGCTGGAAACCACCATTCTCAGCAAACTATCACAAGGACAGAAAAGCAAACACTACATGTTCTCACTCATAGGTGGCAATTGAACAATGAGAACACTTGGACACAGGACAGGGAACATCACACACCAGTGCCTGTTGTGGGGTGGGGGTTGGTGGAGGGATAGCATTAAGAGAAATACCTAATGTACATGACGAGTTGATGGGTGCATCAAACCAACATGGCACATGTATACCTATGTAACAAAACTGCACATTGTGCACATGTACCCTAGAACTTAAAGTATAATAATAATAAACTAGCAACAATCTATCTAAAGTGAAAAAATAGAAGCAGCAGCACTTAAAAAGAAAATAAAAGAGCATGTAGTGAATTATAGGACAACTTCAAGCAGCCTGATATACATACAATTGGAGTCCCTGGTTGGGGGGTGCAATCCAGAGAATATTTGAAGTAGTGATAGCCAAACATTTTCTAAATTTGATAAAAGTTAGAAACTCATAGATCCAAGAGTTTTAATGAACTCTACGCAGAAGAAAGAAGAAAATGAACCCCAGGCAAATTACAATTAAATTGCTCAAAACCAGTGATAAAGAAAATCTTAAAATCAGCTGGATGAAGGATGACCCATTCCGTATAGTAGATCATAGATAATAATGACAACAGGTTTCACACTGGAAACAATGCAAGCAAGAAAACGATGGAGCATACAGGAATCTATTATCCAACAAAAATACTTTTAAAAGCTGAAGTCCAAATACAGACTTTTCCAGGTATATAAAACGTGAAATAGTTTAGCATCAACATACTTGCACTACAAGAAATGTTAAAGGAAGTTTTTCAGAAAGAAGAAAAATACGTACTTAACCAAAGGAAGCAAGAGCAACAAAAAAAATGTTAACTACATGGACTTCTGCTTCCTGATGTTTGTCTGAAACCTGTTATAGGCTATAGGCTAGAATTTGTCTCAGCAAGGAAACTCAGACTCAGACTGGATTAGAAAGGAATATACCAGGTACTTTATTGATATTTCAAAGAACAGATCCTTGGCTTCTGAGCTAACATCTCTTAGACACATTTCAGCTTGTATTTAAGTGGACTGGGTAAGGATTTCCAGGACACTTTGTAGTCCCCAAGCAGACATACTTTATTAAAGCAGGCTGTTGACCCAAGATGTAGAGAATTACATGGGAGGGACCGAATAAAGTCAGAAGGGACATTAATTTGTGGTTGTTTGGATTATAGTTGGTATTATTTTTAATGCTATTTTATGAGTATATAAGGAAGCTCTTTAAAAAAAAACTCTTCTAACCACAATTAATTGACATGAATCATTTTTAAACAGTAGCTGTTATTGACCCCTCAGGATTCAGAAACAATTACATTTACTGAGTCTTTTTACATTTCATGGCAATATCATTATTTGCATTGGTTCATTAAGAATATGTTCTCCTTTTTACCAGGTTATGATTGGCCCACTTAATTGTGCTATCAAGGTCCTTAGGGTTTTCCAGAGAAACAGAACCAACAGGTTTTATATATATGTATTCCTCTCTCTCTCTCTCTCTCTCTATATGTGTGTGTGTGTGTGTGTGTGTGTATGTGTATATATGTATATATGTGTGTGTATATATGTATATGTGTGTGTATATATGTATATGTGTGTATACATGTATATATATGTATATATGCACGTATACACACATATACATATATACACATATACACACATATATACATATATACACACATATTACATATATACACATACACAGATATACATATATACACATATACACACATATACATATATACACATATGCGCATATATACACACCTGTGTATATATGTATGTATGTGTATATATACATGTACACATATATACACATATGTATACATATGTACACATATATACACATATGTATACATATGTACACATATATACACATATGTATACATATGTATACGTGCGTACACATATATACACATATGTATACGTGTGTACACATAAGTACACATATACGCATATGTATACGTATGTACACATATGTATACATATGTACACATTTATATACATATAAGCTTCAGATCTAAGCTTCTTAGAATCTACAGCAAACAATGAAACATTCATCGTGATGTTATCCTTGTTTTAGTTTATATATACACATATATGTGTATATATGTACATATGTGTGTGTATATATATACACACATATGTGTGTGTGTGTATTCATTCCTCAATAGATTGGATAATGTCCACTCATACTGGTGAATGTGATCTTAGTGTGTTAACTCAAACACTGACTTCTTCTTAAAAGACTCTCATGGACACACCCAGAAATAATGTTTTGACAGCTATCTATCTAGGTATCCTTTAGCCCAGTCAAATTGATGCATAAAATTAACCATTATATCTGCAGTGATATATTTGAGAATGATCATCTTTTAATCAGATGTGAAAAACTCAGTATTAAGAAATATATATGGGCTTAATGCCTACAAAGTCTTTCCAGGAAAGTGCTCTTGTACCTGCCTATAGAATGCCAGTCTCACTGGTAATAATGATGGTCGCTTCCTGACAGGACAGGGACATTATCAATATTGGAGGACCTCAACAAGAGAGTATTTCACCTAAGTGTATAGGGGCTGTTCATGAAATCTGGTGGAGCATGTATCTTGGGCTTGGTTTCCTAGCCTTGGCTGGGAGAACAACAATAAGCATTATAAGTCCAATTTGAGGTTTCTTATATAAACTTGTGGACAGAAGTTAATTGTGGCCTTACTAGTTGCTCAATATTGTATGGTATTACACTTGCAGACAAAACTCAAGAAGGCCTATGTGATTAATTAGCATTCTTATTGCGCTTGTAGAAATAAACAGGCCAAAGCTTATGAGGTAAACCTTTTAAAAATAGACTTTGGAGATTGATTATAACAAGAGTGGGTACTGTCAGATAAAAAAATTTCTGAGACTTGGAAATAAGACACATCTTTTCAGTATCAGATGGGAACAAAGACCGCTCATCTTAGTGATTCTCTCATTAATTATTTGATTAAGGTCTTTTTCATATGTTAAAAAGAAAGAAAACAAAAGGAAAAGAAAAAGAAAAGAGGATTAAACCAGGTGACTTCTATAATCCCTTATCAGCTCGTATCAGTTTGGAATTCTGTATCTGGAGTATACTATTGAGAGTCTATCATTTACTTCGGGGAATCCCAGAAGAAATTAAAAGATGAAGGCAGAGGTAGGCTTTTCTCTTTGTTGCCTCTCAGGATGCCGGTTCCTATCACCTTCCTGTTTGGTGTGAGGTATATACAGAGAACAGTGAAGCCTACATTAACATTACATATTCTCAAACTTTGACACTAAAGAATAATGTGAAAATTACTTGCATATATAAGTTGCCATGTTTCTGACAAATACACTAATTTCTTCTGCTCTTTATAATTTATTTTTAGAATGCTTTGGAAAAAATATTTTGGAGAATGTGTTTATATATTCCTGAGAAAGCAACAGAAAAGGGACTGGTTGTAGAGGAAGATGGTACTAATTATTTAAAAAGTAGTATTTAAATTAAGTACATGCTTATGTTGGATGTCTATCTCACATAACTGCCAAGAGAATGATTAGGCAGCTACGGGTGTCCCAGGTCACTGCTCTGGAGAATTTCCTCGGGTTTAAAGTGAATTCTAAACAGAAAATAAATACTCAGAAAGATTTGCTCTACCTGGGAATGTTTCTTATTTCTTGGTGAAAATCACCATTAGTTCCTCACTGTCCAAGTCAAGTATCCCAAGGTGGGTAGGAGGAAAAAAGAATATGCACTAGGGAAGTAGAGAGTTAGATGCATGAATAAAAGTGTCTTGTTTCACCTTTTGCTTCCGCTGGTTAGTGAGAAGTATCTAGATACTTTTCACTTGGTCACTATTTTAATTGTATGAGTTCTACCCAACCCATACTGCTCCCAGCTTGTTAACCGGATCGACGAACTCAAAGCCTTCTATTGATAGGCCTAGGTTATTTCAAACAAATGAAAGTAACATGGAACATAAAGGTTTGAAATTATTAGGGAAAACTTTTTTTTTCCTGAAAACAGTGTGTTGAGAAGAATTGAATGAGAAGGGCAAATATATGAATATGCAATATGTGCATCTCAAAAATATACAAGGCAACATACATAGAGGTATGGATTTTCCAAGAAAAAAATACCTTAATGTTGGATAAAATACACCAAGTGGCAGAGGGAAGAGAATATATTATAGTATAAGAAATGTTTTCTGAGGACAGCTATTATGAAATTGAGATCTAAGCTTCTTAGAATCTACAGCAAACAATGAAACATTCATCATGATGTTATCCTTGTTTTAGTTTAAGTATATAAATTCATTAGGTAAAATACGCATTTTTTCCCACAAACTTTAAGGTAAATCTGTTAAGAGGAGCTCTAAGAGGAATATTAGCAGTGATATCTTTAAAGACATTCTACATGTGCGGTAACAGACATGGTGCTTAGAAAATTCAAGGGCAAGGTGTTTTGTAGTTCCTACAAGGGTGACTTTTTAGGTACCAGAGGGATGTAACCCAGGTATGGAGTTTTCTTGTCACCTGGCTAAGTATGCAAACAAAATATATGCCTTTCTAAAGAATTATGTGCTTCTAAGGGATTGCATCATTTTTTCATAGCAGTCAATGAATGAACAAACAATTTTATCAATCAAACATGCTAAACAGGGCTGAGATTAGGGCATCACTAGCTGCTATAACAAATATACACTCAAGTGGAAAAGAGCTAAAATGGTTCACAAGATGCAGCCTGCAAGAGCTTCTTACACTGAGAGTTCTACCCAACCCAAGACTGGCATACTCTGAGCCAGAGACCCTCAAGACTGGCATACTCTGAGCAAATCTTCAGAAGGAAGGAATTCGGAGTGGATGAAGGAAGTACACAAAGCCTGGGCTAAAGTAGGAAGAAGCTGGGAACCTGCACAGGGTTTCCGAGCTCCAGGACTCATTCCTGGCTCCAAGTGGTTCCTGAGGAAGGGATGAGTAAAAGAGGCATGGTGTAGCTCACGCCCATCACAGACCTCTGGAATCCTAGCTGCAGGAGCCCCTGTGTATGATCCACATGGACATTTAAGCTGGCAGGGAGAGCTACATGGAGAGTTGGCAGGGACAGGACTCCAGCCTGCATGGAGTCCAGAGGGTTTGGTGTGGGAATGGCTGCAGTGGAGCACAACCAAGGTTACCCATTCCTCAAGACTTACCATGTTCCTGTAGGTGACTGTGGCCTTTGCTAACTGTTGGACCTGGACAAAGCAGAGCTGTCTTGCTTGTGGGATGGGGCCGGTCTAATCTGAGCACCAACCCCCACCCCCCACCCCCACTGCATCTGCTGGCTTCTTCCAGGATCCCTGCCTGGCAGCACCCACTTGCAATGCAGCCTCAGGTACCCAACTTGGGCACTTGCAATTGGCCACCACCATAGCTCCTTTGCCAGCAGCACCTGCCTGACTGTCAGAGAGCTTCTGCAGACAGGCATTTGCCAGCATGCACCCACCTGTTGCATTCAACCACAGCTTTGCTGGTGTGCAGTTAATTGCGGCCTCCCCTCACTGCTTTGCTGATGCATGTATGTGGACATTGCAGACACTCCACCCCCACCGGTGCACAGGTGCAGACCCCACTGTCCTGCTGCCATCAGCACATATGAATGAATGCAGACCCCACAGCCAGCACCTCCCATCAGAGTGTTGTTACCAGTGGACTGGTAACACCTTGGGCCCCCCAGCATAGCAGGTACTTAACTACAGGGGCTACAGAACAAAGCCATGGACCTGGTCCCAGCCCCCTAGTTAGAGCATGCAACCAAGGAGTGCTAAGCTGAGCACTGGGCCACTGAAATCATCCAGAATTGAAGCTAGTTAACTGAACACATAATATGCCACAGTCAAAGCCTCAAGGACATTAAAGAATATGAAAGCAAAAAGCCCCATCCAAAGGACAGCAACTTCAAACATTAAGGAATATCAGCCCACACAGATGAGAAAGAGCCAGTGCAAAAAATCTGGCATATCTAAAAGCCCTATTGCCTTTTTACCTCAAAATGATAGCACTAGCTCCCCAGCAATGGTTCTTAACCAGACTAAAAGGCTGAAATGACAAAAATAAAATTGACAATCTGGATGGCAATGACTTCATAGAGTTTCAGGAGAAAGTTGGAACCAAATCCAAGGAATCTAATGAATCAAAACCATAAAATAGCTAAAAGACAAAATTGCCATGTTAAGAAAGAACCAAACTGATCTGATAGAGCTGAAATACTACAAGTATTTCATAATACAAATGAAAGTATTAACAGCAGAATAGACCAAACTGAATGAAGAATCTGTGTTCAAAGACTGATTCTTTGAATTACCTGTCTGAAAAAAATTTTAAAAAAAGCAAGCGTGAACAAAACCTCTGAGTGATATGGGATTATGTAAAGAGACTAAACCTATTACTCACTGGCATCCCTGAAAGACAGGGAGAGAGAGCGAGCAAGCAAATTGGAAAACATATTTGAGGATATTGTCCACAAAAATTGTCTCGACCTCACTGGAGAGGTTGACATTCAAATTCAGGAAATTCAGAGAACCCCTGTATGAGATGCTATACAAGATGATCATCCCCAAGACATGTAGTCATCAGGTTCTCCAAGGTCAATGTGAAATAAAACATTTAAGGCAGCTAGAGGGAAGAGGCAGGTCGCCTATAAAGGGAACCCCATCAGGCTAACAGTGGGCTTTTCAGCAGAAACCCTACGAGCCGGAAGAGATTGGGGGCCTGTATTAAGCATTAATAAAAGAAAATTCAACCAAGAATTTTATATCTAGCCAAACTAAGTTCATAACTAAAAAAGAAATAAAATCATTTTCAAACAAGCAAATGCCAAGGGCATTTGCTACAACCTGACCTACCTTACAAGAGGTCCTTAAGGGAGTGCTAAACATGGAAACAAAAGATTGTTACTGGCCATCAAAATAACCCACTTATGTACATAGACCATTGGCAACACAAAGCAAGTGCATAATAAAGTCGACATAACAACAAGCTAACAACATGATGACAGGATCGAATCCTCACATACCAATATTAACCTTGAGTGTATATGAGCTAAATGTCCCCGTTAAAAGGCACAAAGGGGCAAGTTTGATAAGCAAAACCCAACAGTACACTGTCTTTAAGAGACACATTTTACATGGAATGACACCCATAGGCTCAAGGTAATGGAATGGGGGAAGATTTATCAAGCAAATGGAAAACAAAAAATAGCAGGGGTTGCTATTTTTATTTTAGCCAAAGCAGACTTTAAACAACAACAATCAAAAGGACAGAGAAAGGCATTACGTAATAATAAAGGCTTCAATTCAACAAGAATACTTAATTATCCTAAATATATATGCACTCAACACTGGAGCACCAAGATTCATGAAACAAGTTCTTAGAGACCTACAAAGATAATTAGATAACTACACAGTAATAGTGGGAGACTTCAACACCCCGCTGAGAGTATTAGATCATCCATGCAGAAAACTAACAAAGACATTTGGGACCCAAACTCGACACTTGAGCAAATAGACCTAACCGACACCTAACAGAACACTCCACCCAAAAATAACAGAATATATATTCTTCATATTTTCACATTACATACTCAAAAATCAACCACAAGCTCAGCCATAAAGGAATTCTCAACAAATTAAAAAAAAATCATACCAAACACACACTTGGACCACAGCACAATGAGAATGTAAATCACTACCAAGAAGATCTCTCAAAACCATATGATTACATGCAAATTAAACAGTCGGCTTCCAGATGACCTTTGGGTAAACAATGTAGTTAAGGCAGAAATCAAGAAATTCTTTGAAAATAATGAAAACAAAGATAAAACATACCAGAATCTCTGGGACACAGGTAAAGCATTGTTAAGAGGAAAGTTTATAGCACTAAAGGCCCACATCAAAAAGTTAGAACGATCTGAGGTTAACAACCTAACACCGTATCTAGAGGAACTAGGAAAACAAGAGCAAACCAACTGCAAAGCTAGCAGAAGAAAAGAAATAACCAAAGCAGAGATGAACTGAAAGAAATTGAGATGTGAAAAGTCATACAAACGATCAACAAAAACAAAAGTTTGTTCTCAGAAAAAATAAATAAGATTGACAGACCAGTGATAGACTAATAAAGGAGAGAAGATCCAAATAAACACAATCAGAAATAACAGAGGTACTTTACCATTGACCCCACAGAAATACAAAAAACACTCAGAGACTATTACAAATACTTCTATGAGCAAAACTAGAAAACCTAGAAGAAATGGATTAATTACTGGAAACTTTTACAACCTCCCAAGATTTAACCAGGAAGAAGATGAAACTCTGAACAGACCAATAACAAGTTCTGAAATTGAATCAGTAAATAAAAGACCTACCAACCAGAAAAAGCCTTGGACAAGACAGATTCACAGACAATATCTACCAGATGTATAATGCAGATCTGTTCCCAATTCTATTGAAACTATTCCAAAATGAATGTAAGAGGAAGGACTCCTCCCTAACTCATTCTATGAAGCCAGCATCATTTTGATACCAAAACGTAGCAGAGAAACAACACAAAAGAAAAAACTCAGGCCAATATCCCTGATGAATATAGAAGCAAAAATCCTCAACAAAATACAAACAAAATCTAGCAGTACATCAAAAAGATAATTCATCACGATCAAGTAGGCTTTATTCCTGGGATGCAAGGTTGATACAACATACACAAATTAAGAAATGTGATTCATCTCATAAACAGAACTCAAAACCATATGATCATCTCAATAGGTACAGAAAAGGCTTTCAACATTGCTTCATGTTAAAAACCCTCAACATTTTGGCATCGAAGGAACAACCTCAAAGTATTAAAAGCCATCTATGTCAAACCCACTATCAACATCACACTGAATGCGAAAAAGCTGGAAACATTCCCCTTGAGAACAGAACAACATAAAGATGCCCACACTTGCCACTCCTACTTAACATAGTACTGGAAATGATACCCAGAGCAATCAGGCAAGAAAAAAAAAAAATAAAAGGCATCCAAATAGGAAGAGAGGAAGGTCAAACAATCTCTCTTTACAGATTATATGATTTTATACCTAGAAAACCCCATAGTCTCTGCCCAAAGACTCCTAGATTTAATGAACGACTTCAGCAAAGTTTCAGAAAACAAAACTAATGTACAAAATCAAGCAGCATTACTATACACCAAAAACGTCCAAGCTGAGAGCCAAATCGAGAATGCAATCCCATTCACAATTGCCACAAAAACAATAAAATTCCTGGGAATCCAGTTAACCAGGGAGTTACATTTCATGCTCCTTGATGGGTAGAATCAATATTTTTTTAAACGGCCATACTACCCAAAGCAATTTGAACACTATTCCTATCCAACTGGCAACAATATTTTTTACAGAATTAGAAAAATGTATTCTAAAATTCATTTGGAACCTAAAAAGAGCCTGAATGGCCAAAGCTATCCTAAGCAAAAAGAACAAAGCCAGAGGCATCATACTACCTAACTTCAAACTATAATACGGGGCTAAATTAACCAAAACAGCTGGTACAAAAACACACATAGACCAATGGAACTGCTTAGAAAACCCCAAAATAAAACCACACACCTAAAACCATCTGACTTTTGACAAAGTAGATAATAACAAGCAATAGGAAAGGATTCCCTATGCAATATATGGTGCTTGAATAACTGGCTAGCCTATGCAGAAGAATGAAACTGGATCCCTTCCTTTCACCGTACACAAAAATCAACTCAAGATGGATTAAATACTTAAAGGCAAAACCTAAAACTATAAAAACCTAGGAAACACCATTCTGGATATCAGCCTTGGGAAATAATTTATCACCAAGTCCTCAAAAGCAATGGTAAGAATAACAAAAATTGATGCCTGACACCTTATTAAATTAAAGAGCTTCTGCACAGCAAAAGAAACTATCAACAGAGTAAGCAGACAACCTACAGAATAGGAGCAAATAATCACAATCTGTACATATACAAAGGTCTAACTTCAGAATCCATAAGGAACTTAAACAACTTAACAAATAACCCCATTAAAAAATGGGCAACTGACACGAACAGATACTTCTCAAAAGAAGATATACAAGTGGCAAACAGACATATTAAAAAACGCTCGACATCACTAATCATTAGAGAAATGCACATCAAAACCACAATGAGATACCATCTTATACCAGTCAGAATGGCTATTATTAAAAAGTCAAAAAATAACAGATGCTGACGAGGTTGTGGAGAAAAGGGAGTGCTTATGCATTACTGGTGTGAATGTAAACTAGTTCAGTCATTGTGGAAAACAGTTTGACCGTTTATCAAAGAACTTAGAACTACCATTCAACCCAGCAATCCCATTACTGGGTATATACCCGAAGGAATATAAATTGTTCTACCATAAAGACACATGAACATGTATGTTTATTACAATACTGTTCATAATAGTAAAGACAATCAACCTGGATGCCCATCAGCGGCATACTGGATAAAGAAAATGTGGCACATATACATGATGGAATACTACACAGCCAAAAAAAAGGCTGAAATCATGTCCTACAGCAATATGGATACAGCTGAAGGCCATCACCCTAAGTGAATTAAAGCAGGAATAGAAAACCAAATATTGCATGTCGTCACTTATTAGTGGAAGCAAATCATTGAGTACTCATGGATACAAAAAAGGGAACAACAGACATCTAGGCCTACTTGAGGGTGGAGAGTGGGAAGAGGGTAACGATGCAAAAACCACCTATCAGGTGCTATGTTTATTGTCTGGGTGAGAACATAATGTGTACACTAAACCATTGTGACATACAGTTTACACATATCACAAACCTGCGCATGTACCATTGAACCTATAATAAAATTTGGAAGAAAACAACAACAAGAATACCCAAATATTACACTCAAATGTATAATGGCTTAGTCAGAATATAGATTTATTTCTTGCTCATTTAAAAATGAAAGATGGATGTTTCTGGTTGGGGAAGTTGGTTCTCCTCCACACAATCATTCAGTGGCCCAGGCTGCCAAAGGCTTGCCATCTTTATACTTGACCTCCTTGGTCTCTCCATAGTAATTTCCATCCAAATAAGCTAGAAGGGGGAAAGAACATAAATATGCTTGAGAGATCCTAATGGATCTGCGGTGTATTTGGCACACTGCATTTCTTCTCACATTTTGTTGGCTAGATCTCATTCTTATAACCACACAAGGCAAGTGAAGCTGGGAAATGCAGTCTACCATTATGTGAATTGTTCGTAGTTTCTGCCATGTTTTCCCTTCTGGTTAAAATATTCTTTCATTTTTTTCTGATATGTAACACACATTTGACATCTCTTTGAATGAGATACCCCAAAATCTCATGCAGTCGTTGAATCCAGCTCAGTCAGCTCTTGATATGGTTCCTTAGGTTCTGGCTACTCATGACTTCAAATGACAAGCTGAATTATCAGTACCTCCTCCCCAGAATACCCAATGTACCATGATGGAGTAGGGCAGGTTGATCACATTGAAAAAAAGAAATCCCATTTACAAAGGGAGACCTAGGATACATGTAGCAGTCACTGATCCAGAGCAATGGTGGAATTCTGCTGGACAGGCATTGTGAGATTTCTTTGCCATGGCAGTGAGAAAAGTTCTATGATTAGCTCCTGATTCTTCTGTTTTGGTGGAAGTCCTTTGTCCATTACTCTCAGTGGCCCCTGGCTACACATTCTGGGATATTCTTCACTGTTCATTGTCTCCATTGCCACATCTGAAGCGGGTGAGAAAGAAACCGCACTGACAGCTGACAGCTGGTAGCAAGCCTGGTAACTAAAATTAGGCCTAGTGCTCACTTGCTAAATAGCTAGTCCATGGTGTTCCCTGCTGAAATAAACAATTCTACACAATATCAACAACATTTGAAAAGGGATCACTCCATGACTTTGATGAAACAAGACAAAAACAAGACCACTGAGTAATCATGACTAAACACAGACACAAAGCAAGAACACCATGCACAAAAATATAATTAAATATCTTCCATTCCTGGTAAAATGACTACCAATGGTAACTCTGGCCCCACTTCGTTTATTCTACCACCTAAATAAAACTTAAAATACTAAATACATAAGGACGTCTCTTTCCTGACAGAATTCAATCCGGAACAGAGCCCCACGTCTTCAAAGGCATGAACCCAAACATTCCCATCAGTTATGGAATGAGTATTTGTCTCATCCCAAATTAATTTGTTGTGGTAATCCCTGGTACCTAGTCCTAACCTACAGTACCTCAGAATGTAACTGTATTTGGATATAAAGTCTTTATAAGAGTGATTAAGTAAAAATGAGGTGTTTTGTGTAGGCCCTAATCAATATGACTGGTGTCCTTATAAAAAGAGGAGATCTCAGGCACTTGGACACAGAAGAAAGTCCATGTAAGGACACAGAAAGAAGGTGGCTATCTGCAAGCCAAGGAGAGAAAGTACAGAAGAAACCAGCCCTGCTGACACCTTGAAATGAGTGAATACACTGCTGTTGTTTAAATCACCCAGTCTGTGGTATTTGTTATTGCAGCATGAGAAGGCTGCTATCCTAACTTCCTCTTCCTGAGACATCCTATGGTTCTTCATGGTGTGCAGTCTTCCTTGTTGCAACAAATTTAAAACCTAATTTATTATAGGAGTTTCTCTGGTGGTCTTTGGTACTTGGCTTTATCATGGATGTAGGGGGAACATTCTCTTTCATGGGAGATGCCCAGGTTTTGCAATACGCTTTTTGCTGGTGCCAATTTAGGACCCAATAGTTTTTCATAGATGAATACAAATAAGTAATTTTTGGAAAATTCGCAATTCTTTTCTGAGCTCATAATTTTCTTGTAATGCCTAACTAAACCTATCAAGTTACTATCACCTTGCCAAACACAAGAAGCAGCCATGCATACAGACTAATGCTTTTAAAGCCATTTTTCTCCAAGAGCTACCAGTTTAATAGGTACATGTTGCGTCTTACAAGTTATCATAGGCAATAGTTTTGCTCAGTATCTTGTTCTGGAATGATACACCACTCCAATTTGTTTAGCTTCTTTTTTTTTTTTTTTTTTATTATACTCTAAGTTTTAGGGTACATGTGCACATTGTGCAGGTTAGTTACATATGTATACATGTGCCATGCTGGTGTTGTTTAGCTTCTTATGTCTATTTCCTCATCACCTGCTGCCTGTCGTTTACCCTCTAAACCAATGCCAAATATTTTAAGATTTTGTTATAGTATGACCCTACTTCAAAGTACTCAATTTTCTATTAGGTTAACAGTAGTTACTGTAACAGCAGGTAAAGCTTGTAAGAAATAACGGTTTAACAAATCAAACTGGTTCTTCCAATTCTTGTATGGTTTAAGAAAGTAACTCTATTTGGAAAGTTATGAGTGTATGTGAAGTCAAATAGAGAGGGGCATACACACCGTCTACCGAATCGATCTGCGGCTCACCTCTTTTCCCACTATCTCTCTCCCTTTTCTAGCTCACAGTGGTCTTGGGCCAGGCCTTTTTACAGCTATTACAGAACCCATTTTCACATTGTTCGGTTGAGCGTTTATCTTTTTGATTCTGTATTTACTCTTCTGTTCAAAAGCCCGGGGCAACCGAACAAAAGGATAATGCTTCGTATCACATTTAAGAGTAGAAATTACAGTTCAACTATCAGAAATGCTCTGGGATGGAGCTGCCCCCGTGGGACCTGGGCTGCACTGTTTCCATCCTCCCAGGAAGAACCTTGGGAACCTATTCACCCGCTTTGGTTTTGGCAAACTCACTAGCCTGAGGCTATGCAGTGAAGATGAAGTTAGTTGAAATATAGTTGTTTACATCTGTTTTCATAAGGATGATTAAGACACCTTTTCTCATGGGGGCTACAGCAGCTAACATCTTTTAAAAAGGCTTTAGCTTCTGCAAAAGCATTGTTCTAGGTATACACCCTGTGTCTCTTTCATTTTTATTTTTTCAATTGGCTCCAGTTTAGTGTCCATAAAGTTAGAAAGGATGGTGTGTGTGTGTGTGCTCGCACAGTTTCTAGAGTAAAAGCCTTTCATCTTAGAGAAATGTGACACTTAGTAAATACATTTTTTCCTATGTGTTAATAGCCTTTGTTTGCCTTCGATTAGTCTCCTCTGCCTCTGGCTTGCTTTTGTTATCCTTTGTCCTAGAGTTGACAGATAAAGAGGGAATGGGGTCTTCCAGCAGCAGTGCTTGGAGATGGACGTGCACTCAGTGAGTGCTCACCCTAAAAGGATCATAAACATACTGGGTTAAATCAACCTAATTATCCCTAAGCTGCCTTGGGTTTTGTGTTTGCTCTTGTTTTGTTGTGTTTTGTTTTAGCTGCACCACGTGTGATTCCTTGTGCCATTTTCTTTTATCTATTATTTTTCTTGATGACCCTGAGCTATGGCTTCCTCCTCAGTTCCAACACTATTCAGCCTTCGTTGTTTGCCTCATTTTGCCAATGTAGGCCTCAAAGAAGAAATGGCAGAAGAGCACAAGGTACATGAGTGAGGACCAGAAGATGTTCTGAAAGTGAGAGTAACACATATTTTCTATATTTTTGTGAATTCCAAAAGGAAATCGCAGGGGCTCTTCCTGATGTTGGGCGAACACTGTGTTTCTGCATCATCTACGTTTGCTGCCCAAGCGATGTAGAGGTGTTTAAAGTGCCCTCTGCTGGCTGAGTGGCAATATTATAACAAACTTCATGACGAGTTCAGCTGAAAACAGTTGACAGCAAAGGGCCCCTTATACACTTATCCCTCAAATTTTAAGGGAAATGAAATACTTGTCATATCTTTGGCCAAATCAGAAGATATTCGTCCTGCTTCTAGTCAGCTTAAGAAATTTTTAAAAAGTGACCGTCGCTCTGGAACTCAATCAATTTATTAAGAACCTTTTTTTTTTTAAAAAAAAAAAGCTGGATAATATTATCTGTAATATTTCAGTCCTTTACAAGCCAAATACATGTGTCAATGTTCCTAGTATTTCAAAGAGCAATTATGTAAGCTTGTTCAATGTGACATAATAGTATTATAATTGGTTAAGTAGCTTAATGATGAGGCGAACTAGATGAAAAGATTAGGGGTTTCTACACTGCATAGATCACACACACATAGCCGCACAAACATGCACACAGATGTGGGGTACACTGAACTTCAAAGCCCAAATTAAAAGAAACACATTTTCTGGCTAGCAGAGAAAAAACAAAACTGTTGTTTCTCTTTCTTGCTTTGAGTGTATACAGTAAAAGGGATTTATTTAATTATTTTTATATTATTTTAGCTTTAATTGTGCTGTCGTTCATGAAACAGAGCTGCTCTGCTTTTCTGTCAGAGATGGCAAGGACTTTTTCAGCATCTTGTTTGTGTTGAATTTAAAAAGAAGAAAGTTTTACTCCACTAAAAAAAAAATGAAACTCTGGAGTCTTAACATGTTCAGAACTGATCTCAACAACTCTTACCCTCACCTGTTCTTCATCTAGTATTACCTATCTCAGTAAATGAATCTATCATCTATCAAGTTCCCCAGTCCAGAAACCTTGCTCTCTCACTTCTAAACCATACACAAAGCCCTGAATAACTTGCTGATCTAGCCCTCCTTGTCAGCTATACACTCACTAGACTGGATCACTTATAAACATCTAAGAGATCTTTCATTCTTTTACTCTTAGAATTAATTCTACACACAGAACTTCAATACTAGACTTAAAATGTAAATAATATGCCACTTTCTGCTATAGTCTCAATATTTATCTCCTGCAAATTCATATGTGGAAATTCTTTTTTTTTTTTTTTTTTGAGACGGAGTCTCACTCTGTCGCCCAAGTGGATTGTGGGGCGCGATCTCAGCTCACTAAAATCTCCACCTCCTGGGTTTTAAGCAGTTCTCTCTGCCTCAGCCTCCAGAGTAGCTGGGATTACAGGCGCTCACCACCACACCCGGCTAATTTTTGTATTGTTAGTAGAGACAAGGTTTCGCCATGTTGGCCAGGCTGGTCTTGAACTCCTGACCTCAGGTGATCCACTCGCCTCAGCCTCATATGTTGAAATTGTATCCTCCAAGATGATGGTATTAGGAGGTGGGTCCTTTGGGAGCCATGATTAGGTAATGAGAGTGGAGCCCTCATGAATGGGATTAATTCCCTTATAAAAGAGGCCCAAGAAGGAGCTCTTTTGCTCCTTTCGCCATGCAAGGACATAGCAAGAAGGTGCCATCTATGAACCAGAATGTGGGTCCTCACCAGACACTAAATCTAATAGCACCTTGATCTTGGACTTCTCAGCCTCCAGACTGTGAGAAATAAATTTCTATTGTTTAAAAGCCACCTAGTTTGTGGTATTTGTTAGACAAGACTGAATGAACTTAGACACCTTCTTCTCCAAAATCCAATGACTTCCTGTCACCATTATACTACAACTCAAACTCTACTGTGGCCTACAGGAATTTAACCATCTGGGCCCTACCCACCCCTCTGACTTTATGTCCTCTAACTCTTCCCATGACCTTCCCATGAGCCACAAAGACCTGTTCATTTCTCAGTATGGAGGCCATGTCCACTCTCATGTGTCAGCCTTAGCACATGATGACTTTTCCACTTAGAATTTCCCTTTCCTTTAACCTCTTTCTTGTTCTGGACTACCAGCCATCTTTTGGGCCTTAATTTCAATAACTCTCTTTATCTTAATCTAATGTACCCATAAAAATTCTGAGTTAGATCTCCCCCTTATGTGTTCCCATATTACTTGAATTCTACCATTTTAGCACGTATTAGCCCTCCAAAATATTTGTAAAGCTATAAAGATAAGAGTGATGATAATAATAACAGCAGTAATAGTAATATCAATTGACATTTATTGAATACTTATACCATATGAGGTACTATACTATATTCTCAGAATATAATTGTGAGCAAAATAGATATGGCCTTTGTTTTAATAGAGACAAAGGGCGACAAAAACAAGTAAACACATGCATAAAAGTATATTGAGTTCAAAATATATTAGGGTGAATCAGGTGAAATTACTGACATTTGACCAATAAAAATGTCAATTTCACATAGTTGGCCTAATATTCATAAATTTTGATAACTGCTAAGTCACAATAGAACACATGAAAAGCACAGGAGGGATGGACTGACTTATTTCGTGGTGGATGATCAAAGAAAATCTCTTAAGGAATTAATATATGAGCTGAGCATAATGAAGTAGACCCAGCTGCATTAAGGTTGGGGGATAAAAAATTTTCTAGACATACAAAGTGCTCATTGTGCTGTTCGATAATTACCTGTTTTAATTATTTCCACTAAATTGTAAGCATTGCAATGCCAGGGGTTGAGACTGTTTGATTCCTTTCTTTGAAATAGGAGGTATGCAATTAAAAGCTTATTTAATGAATAAAGGAATATAGGAAAAAATGAATGAATGGATCTGGACTCCTAGCACATCTCCAATATTGTATCTCATTCCTTTTTTCTTTCTCAAGCTATATCATCCTGTGGTTCTAAGAGGCTTTTTTCCTGTAATCAAAATATTCATTCCTACTTTTCTGCTTTTTCCCACTGAAGCTCCTTTTGCCTGGAAAGGTCTCATTTACCTGGCTAATTTTTATTCACCCTTCAATATTCGTATTACGTGTCCCTTCCTGTAGGAAGAGTTCTCAAACCACTTTTCTTTCACCAAATCCATCACAAAACCCAAGAGACTTCTCTGTGTTCTAACATCTCCAACTTCCCATTATCACGGCAAGTACCACATTTAAAAAAAAAATGAATCAACATACACATTTCTCTTCCCTATAAGATTGTAAAATACTCTGGAGCAGGTCCCAGGTTTTTTTTTTCAGTATTTTTACACATAGTAAGTGCTCAAAAAGGATTGTTGATTGTTGCACAGAGAATACAATATTAACAGTATAGAGAGAACTGAATATATACTCAATAATGCATTTATTTTCAATAAAAGCTGACAAACTTTTTGTATATAGAGATGAACCTAGGGAAAACCTCCTCAGATAGTATGGTTTTTGAAATTGGTTTTTGAAATATGACCGGGCCTGATGGCTCATGCCTGCAATCCCAGCACTTTGGGAGGCCAAGGCAGGCGGATTGCTTGAGCTCAGGAGTTCAAGACCAGCCTGGCCAACATGGCAAAACCCTATCTGTATTTAAAAAAAAAAAAAAGAAAAAAAAAGAAAAATGTCAGGCTACATTCAAATAAGTCATAGTATTTCAGTATTTCAGATGTCATTTTATTTCATTTATCTGCCTTAACTCTAGAAAAATACATATATTTTGAATATAATCATGATAACCTTGAATGAACAGTTATGAGTTGGAGGGTATAGAAGACGGCTAATGTAAATAATTCAGAAATACCAACTTTATTATCTTGAACATGACTAGCCAGCATTTTCACTGGAGAAAGTTTCAGACTGAATTGATACTGGGCATTTTTGTGTGCCCATCCAAGAAAGTGAGAACCCAAAGCAAAGCTACAGTTCACATCCAGGCAGGTGATGGCATATAAATATAAAAATAGCGCTAAGAGAGTACATAGGAGCCAGTTAATTCTCATACCATTATTACTGCATCTTGCTCCAAGGAGAACATTTCAAGGCCTTGGTCTGGTTCCTGGGTCATGCCCTTGTGTTTGTTAAGATTACAAGACTCTGAGCTAACCCTGGGTTAGTGCCAGATACTTTGGACTATACGCACAATAAACTTGGTGTTTACGGATGAGGTTAATCTCATTCTGCTATTGAAGTGATGGCAAGGATGAACACTGCCATCATATTTTCTTGGTCTTTTGTGTATTGTTCCTGAATGTATTCCCCATCAGGATTGACACTGATTTCTTTAGATTCTGTCAGGCACTATTTTTCCTTTTTAAAGTTTGTTTGTATTTTGCTTTTAAGTTAGCTATCATGGCCTTCACTAATCTGCCCTTTTACGTGATTCCTTTTTAGATAACTATGGTGATAATAGCCACTTATTTTTGAGGACTTACTGCATGCCAAGTTCTCTATAAGATATTTATAAGATATTATTAAATATTTGAAAGGCAGGCTTGCTTGCTAGTTAGGAACACAAGCTCTAGAGTCAAACTGCTTGGGTCAGCATCCTAGATCCATCACTTACAAACTTTGTGGACTCTGTGCCTCAGTTTCCAAACACTGTAGAGGCACTGGGATTAACAAGATGCATAAGACATGATCATTGACCTTATGACTAGGAGTGCTCAGTCTAGTACAGGGATTGGCAAACTATGGGCCCATGGGCCAAGTTCCTCCCATCACCTGTTTTTGTAAATAAGTTTTTATTGGCATACAGCCATATACATTCATTTACATATTGTTGGTGTTTGTTTTCAAGCAATAGGGACAGAGTTGAGTAGTTTACAGACAACTGTATGGCCCGAAAGGCCCAAAACATTTATTATCTGACCCTTTATAGAAAATGCCAACCCCTGCTCCTGTGCAATGGCTTCAGGTAGTTAAAATCCAAGGCATACTGGTGAAGAATATGGTCTTTCGTGTCAGATTTGGGTTCAAATGCTAGCTCACTAACTTACTGACCTGTGTGATCTTGAACTAGTTAGTCCCTGTACTACAATGTCCTCATCTGCAAAATGAAGATGATGATAATACCTATCACACTGGGCCGTGTAAGTATGTGAGGATTAAATGAGGTAGTCCTTGTAAAGAGTTTAGTACAATGCCAGACACATAGTAAGTGCTCATTTATTTTATCTGTTTTTTTTTTTTGTTTTGATGGTGATGGTGCTAAGCTCCTTAATTGGAGCCCCACTGGCTTTGCTGGAGCAGAAACCTGTGTATGGGGTATAATAGAGGATAAGGATGGAAAAGAAGTGGTTGTGGAATCCTCAGTGTGGGACAGACAAAGAAGCCACTGACAGACTAAGAGGTTCCATTTAAACGTATGGAGAATGGGGAGATATTGAAGGCTGATAAATAGGGGAAGGGGAAACATAGCATGATGAAAAATGTTACTGAGGAAAGATCATATGTGTTTTCCTCTTTTTCTTTTTTCTCTATAGCACTTATAACACAATATGATTTATTATTTATTATGTGTATTTTTATTATCTATCTCCTACTGCTAGAATGTCAGTTCCATGGGGTTAGGAAACTTTGTTTTGATCATTAATGGATCCCAAGCACATAGGATGTATGCAAGCTGCTCAACGTCTATTAAATGATTTTGGCCAGAAATGTGCATGATAGACTACATGCAGGAAAACCACTTTGGAGATCACTGAACTCACCAAGATGTGTAAGGGTGTGTGTGCTGGTTTAGGGTGAAGGCAATGCTTATAGAAAGATAAGGAAAATAATGTTGCTTTGATTTGTTTCAAAATAATTTTCAGGACTTAGTAACTAGTGAACAAGAGAAGTCAAGGAAAAGATTGTCAAAGTAAAGTGTTTTTCTTTCTGAAAAATTATACACAGAAGTATTACACCTGGTTGGATCCTTAGACCAATTAACAGGCTTAATTTGGCAGTGAGGAAGTACATTCATGAGAAATATTTTTGTGGCAAACAACTCCTACTGTTTTTGATAAAATGAACTACTTGGTGTCTTGTCCTACCAACATTTAGAGGTGAACTGTTTCTAACCTCTTATTTCCATGATAAGTGCTGGGATTTCTGTTACAACCTGGACAATTTTAATATTTCAGTATAATTTCACATGTGTATTGCAGTCTTGATGCCTTGCCTTGTTTTAACATGACTTTCTCTTTTTTGAAGTCTAAACACCTCAATATTTGTAAATATACATTAAATTGCTAATATAGAAAACTGCTAAAGGTGGCATTTAACTGCTTAAAATTTGCTGATGGAAATGTTTGTTTTGAAAGAGTTATTTCAGATCCTAGGGCAAATGAATGTGCTGTCTCGAATGGCCAGTTTCTGCATCAGTAATTGCTTTATGTCTTCTGTAATTCTAGTTCAATGGTAGATCAACAAGCCTGTCTGCTTCTTGTTACAAACGTGAAATAGACTGTCCCTTAAGCTCATATTTAGTGACCCCTTTTTATCTTATTTCCCTGAGGAAAACAGTTGCATTCAATTCAGCACACTACAGCTTCCTGAATGAATACATTCCTGTCATTTGAAAATACCATGGTCATTTTAAAGCATCTCTCTGTTTGCTTTACCTTGCTATAGGACAAAGAACAAAAGTGATTTTGGTGTAAAATGTAATACATTGTTTTCAGAACCTCAATTGAGAACCAAGGGGAAATTAGGAAAAAACAAGACAAAGAGGCAGAATGGTCAGAAGGCCTATAGTAAGAAGAAAAAAACACCACAGGACACATTTTTGAAGAAAATGGAAGGTGTTTGTTGATCTTTAGACAAATTTTCAACTAGTAGCACCATGTACTCACTGAACATAGATTTACCCTGATTCTGAAGAATTAGTCCACTGAAGTTCTCTTCACCAATCTGGTACCTATTAGGCTCCTCCAGCCTTTCACCTTTGCAGCAACATGGATGTAGCTGGTGGCCCTCATTTTAAGTGAATTAATGCAGGAATAAAAGCCAAATACCTCATGGTCTCACTTTTAAGTGGGAGCTAAACTTTGGGTACACTTAGATATAAAGATGCCAACAATAGAAACTGGTGACTACTAGAAATGGGAGGATGGCAGAGGAGCAAGGGTTAAAAAAACTAATTATTGGGTACTATGCTCAGTACCTGGGTAACAGGATCAGTTGTCCGCCAAACTTCAGCATCATGCAATTTACCCAGAAAACAAACCTGCACATGTACCTGTGTAATCTAAAGGCTGAAAATCTGAAAAAAAAAAAAAATCCTTGCATTTGCATGTATATTGGTGTACAAATATATTTATTATAGCATTGTTATGATGGAAAATTCGAAATAATTGTCATCATTTACTGAGCATTTACTATGAGCCAGAATCTGTGCTAAGAATTAATTCATTTGCTCCTTCTCATGGTCTTTAATGCTTTTCATCAAATATTTCCTGCTGTCCATCTTTCAGAAACAGATACATTGCATTTCCTGGTTTCCGTCTGGTAAGATGAGATCACGTGACTGGTTCTGGATAATGAGTTGGGAGTCAAACTGATGTGTGCTACTTATAGGCTGGATTATTTATGTGCCATTTTGAGTCCTTTTCGGGATTCCATCTTCCTTCCATCTGCATCACAGATGGAGAAATTAAAGATGTTGGTTTCTCCATTCACTGGAAACCCTGAGTTCCTAAGAGGAACATAGATCCACTCTTGATCTGTGATGGGCATGAAGTATGAGCAAGACAGATTGTCGTTTTAATCCTTTAAACTGGGGATGATTTATCACTGAAGAATAATCCAATCTATCCTGATTTTCAATCCTCATGAAATTCCTATGAAAGAGATACTATTTTAATCATACTTTTACAAATGAGGAAGTTGAGGCATAGTGAGTTTAAGTAATTTTTCTAAAATTACAGTTAGGAGACAGGAGAGCCATAATTTACACCTAGGTAGTTTGGCTCCAGATACAACATTCTTATCTGCTATATATACTACCACTCACAGATCTATGTCTATGACTAGGGCAATTTATTTTTTTAATTAGGTTATATCTAGACTATGAAATGCTGTGCATCTATTAAGAATAATGAGGTACCCTATAGGGATTAATATTAAAAAGCTCTCCAGAGCTTATCTTTTAGTTAGAAAAAGTAGCAGAAGTATATAGGTAAAAAGCCATTTATGTAAAAAAATATTATGCAATGATCCATTTGAGTTAAAAAGTGATACACAGTTGGCCCTTTGTGTCTGCAGGTTCTACATCTGCAAATTCAACCAACCACAGATCAAAAGTGTAGTTAGGCCTATGATGGTTACATTTGTGGTGAACGTGTATTTGTTTTTTCTTGTCATTATTCCCTAGACATTAAAGTATAACAACTATTTATGTAGCATTTTCATTGTATTAGGTATTGTAAGTAATCTAGAGATGAATTAAAGTATACAGGAGGGTGTACGTAGATTGTACTATGCCATTTTCTATTAAGACCTTGAGCATCCATAGAATTTGGTGTCTGAGGAGGGTCCTGGAATCTATCTGTATATACTAAGGGATAACTGTATATTAACATATACAAATGTACATATGAAAACATGTATGTGCATATTGTGTATAAATGCATACATACACACATACATATGTATGTATTGTGTAGTACATATGCCAGTATGTATGTGATAAAATGATTAAACATATCGAAACCATGTGAAATAATGTCATCCATCTCTTCTTCCCTTGCCAAGAGACCACATACATATTCCAGATGAAGTGAATACCAAATAGTGGAAGGCCATCTAACCTACATCAGATTAGCGTGAATGAGAGAAAATAAATTTTTATGGTGTTAAACCTGTGGCATTTCAGTGATTGTTGGAGGAACTCACATGGATTATCCTATCCAACATAGAACTTCCATTAAAAAATTCTCCTGGTGATTGAGATGATGTAAGTTAAAAACAAGATTTACCTGGTTGGATATACTAGCTTAACCCTACTCATATATATTTGTTGTGCTTCTATATTTTAGAGTATGTATCATAGTCCTCAAATATGGCTTTCATCAATTTCTTCCCTACCTATATGTGTGTACCGCTTTTCACACCTAAAGTTCGACTCTCTTTTCCCTTGTATTAAATCTGAGCTACCCTCTAACTTACTTTGACTAACAGAGTACAGCAGAAATAATGATGTGCCTGTTACAGGCCTAACATTTAACCAAAGGGGTAGCTTTTGTTCTTGGGGACTGGTCACCATGTGATGGTTGCTAAACCTGGATATGAAACCCAAGCTAACTACATGGAGAGATGCTTGACCAATCCCCAGCTGTTCTAATAATTCTAGATGAGGCATCTGTCATGAGTTAGAAAGCCATGTATCTTAATCGATTAGTGCTGCTATAACAAAATACCTGGGACTTGGTAACTTATAAAAATTAGACATTTATTTCTAGTAGTTCTGAAGGCTGAGAAGTCCAAGATCAAGGCAGGGGCAGGACTGATATCTGGTGAGGGCTGTTCTCTGTTTCCAAGATGGTGCTTTGTTGCTGCATCCTCTAGAGGAGAGAAATGCTGTGTTCTCACATGGCAGAAACTGAAAGGGCAAAAGGACCAAACACTGCATTGAAGCATCTTCTAAAAGAGCCTTAATCCCATGAGAGAGATGGACCTTATGGTCTAATCACCTTTTAAAGCTCACACCTCTCAATACTGTTGCCTTGGGGATTAAGTTCCAACATTAAGTTTGGAGGGAACACCGTCATTTCAACCGTAGCACCATCTTTGACATTCCAGACCTAGGAGACAACATTGAAGCGAAAGAATTGTCCAGCTAATTCTGCCCAGATTGAAGAATTCTTATAAATAATAAATTGTGACTAGCCAGAAGGTTTGGAGTGATTTGTTAATCAGAAATTGATAACCGAAACCATGTGTAAATTTCAACTGTCAAACATGCGAAAGGTAAAGCTATAATAAATGGTTCTTAATTGATACATCATAATTGTACATACTTATAGGGTACAGTGTGATGTTTTGATACATGTGTACATTGTGTAAAGATGCAATCACGGTAATTAGCATACCCACCACCTCAAACACTTGTCATTTCTTTGGGATATCATTTGAAATTCTACCTTCTGCTATTTTTAAGTACACGATACATTATTGTTGATTATCGTCACTCTAGTATGCAATAGAACACCAGAACTTATTCCTCCTACCTAACTGTAACTTTGTCCTCATTGAGAAACCTCTCCTGGTTTCTGCCCTCCTCCAACCCTTCCCATTCCCTGATAACCAACATTCTACTCTCCACTTCTACGATTCAACTTTCTTAGATTCCACATATGCGTGAAATCATGCAATATTTGTCCTTCTGTGCGTGGCTTATTTCACTTAACATAATGTCTTCCGGGTTCATCTATGTTGCCACAAACAATAACATTTCATTTTTTTTCTGGCTGAATAGCACTTCATTGTGTGTGTGTGTGTGTGTGTGTGTGGTGTGTGTATCACATTTTCAATGTCTTGTCTGTTGTGAATATTGCTGCAATAAACATGCAAGTATGGCTATCTCTTTGATATACTGATTTAATTTCTTGTGTGTGTGTCTGTGTGTGTATCCAGTAGTGGTACTGTTAGATCATATGGTAGTTCTATTTTTAATTTACTGAGGAACATTCATACTGTTGTCTATAATGGCTGCACTAATTTACGTTCCCACAACCAGTGTATAAGTGTTGCCCTTTCTCTCTATCTTTACCAGCATTTGTTATTTTTTGACTTTATTCTAATAGCCATTCTGACTGAGGTGAAGTGATTTCTCACTGTGGCTTTGATTTGCATTTCCCTGATGATTGGTGATGTTGAGCATTTTGTCATATACCCATTGGCCATTTGTATGTCTTCTTTCGAGAAATGTCTATTAGGATCATTTGCCTGTCTTTAAATTGGATTATTATTATTTGCTATTTAGTTATTTGAGTTACTTATGTATTCTGGATATTAACCCTTGTCAGATACATATTGTGCAAATATTTTCTCCCATTCTGTAACCTGTCTCTTCACTCGGTTGATTGTTTTACTTGCTGTGTAGAAGCTTTTCTGTTTGATACAATCCTATTTGTCTATTCTTCTTTTTGTTACCTATGCTTTTGAGGTCTTATCCAAAAAATCCTGAAAAAGAAATCAAGAAAACAATCCCATTACAATAGCTACAAAAATATTAAAATACCTAAGAATAAGTTATATAAGGAGGCGAAAGATCTCTGGAATGAAAACTGTAAAACATTGATGAAAGAAATTGAAGACAACACAAATAAAGGAAAAGAAATCCCATGCTTGTGCATTGGAAGAATTAATATTGTTAAAATGTTCATACTATCCAAAGCAATCTACAGATTTAAGGCACTCTCTATCAAGGCATCAGTTACATTTTTCAGAGAAACAGAAAAAAAATCCTAAAATTCATATACAACCATGAAAGATCCTGAAAAGCCAAAGCACTCCAGAGTAAATCAGAAAAAACAAACAAAAAAGTAGAAACATCACACTACCTGACTACCTGACTTCAAAATGTACCGTGGAGCAATAGCAACCAAAACAGCATGGTACTGGTGTAAAAATAGACACATACACCAATGCAACACAATAGAGACCCAAATATATATCCATGCGTTTATAGCCAACTAATTTTCAACAAAGGTGCCAAGGACAGACACTCAGGGAAATAAAATCTCTTCGGTAAATGGGGCTGGGAAAACTGAATGTCCACATGCAGAAGAATGGAACTAAATCCCTGTCTCTCCCCATGTATCAAAATCAACTCAAACTACATTAAAGACTTAATTTTAAGACTCAAAACTATGAAAGTACCAAGAGAAAACGTAGGAGAAACACTTCATCACATTGGTTTGAGCAAGCTATTGTACCTTTAAAATCTAGAATCCCCACAGTTTCTTTTTTATAGTTTCTTTTCCTCTGTTGTGAGTCCTAATTGTTAACTCATTGTTAGCACATTACCCTCTAGATATTTCAACGTGTTTTTCTTCAGTTCTTAAACATATTCATGATGGCTGTTTCAAAGTTATTGCTAAATTAAGTATCTAGGTACAGTTAATTAATGTTGACTGTTTTTTCTCCTGAATGAGTTGCACTTTCCTTTTTGTTTGCATGTTTAGCAATTTTTGGTTGAAAACGGGTTATTTTACATAATATAGTACAGCTTTTCTGGTTTCTGTTGTGTATTTTTCAATTTTTTAAACAATTGGTTTTTAAATTTTTGTTTTAGTAACTTGTCTGGACTATTGCGGAGTCTCTTTCCTGCATCTGCGCAGCTCCTGATGTCTCAGGTAACTTTTTTTTCTTTTTTAAAGGTATTACATACATTTTTTAGTCTTACTTCCTGGGGATTGCTCCTGTGTCTGCATAGTCAGTCTCTAAATTGGAAACAGTTTGTGGTCATACACCTTGAGGCCATTAGGCCTCCACCCTTTTGCGGATTGAGATGTGTCATTTCAGGAACATTCAAAGTTGCATCCAGTTCTCATCTCTTTTTGCTTTTATTGTTTATAATTGTGTATATTTAAAGTACAGGACAATGTTTTGATATACGTAATAAAATGGTTACTACAGTTACGCCACTGAAATTGATCATCTTATATAGTCACCACGTTTTTTGTGGTAAGAGCACTTAAAATATACACTTTTAGAAAACTTCCAGTATACAGTACAATATTATTATTAACTGTAGTCTTCATGTTGTACTTTAGATCTCTAGATTTTTTGATGGACACTTCTGTGTCTCTTCAGTGCACACGTGGGTTGGCAGTCATCCAGGGTTGTGTGAGTTGGTCTCAGCCCTTCCATGGCTCTCTAATTTTCAGGAGTACCCCCTTAATTTTTGTCTTGTCTCCTATTCACCCTGAATCATTTCAACATGGCTGGGCTAACAAGGCCTTGGGCATTTCCTCTCTGCTCTGAAATGAGTCTGTCACTCTTAAGCCAGCAAAGCATTCAGTTTTCTGCATACATCCTCCACTGCAATTAGAGTTCAGGACCACTGGCTGTAAAGGTGCTGTTTTTGGTGTCAGTCTCAAATCACTAAAGCTACAGCTCTGACAGCTGAGTGGAGGGTGTTTGGATGGAAGCAACCCAAGAAAAGAAGTTTATAGATTCACAAGAGTTTCTTGGTGCCATTCCCACCTAATGTTGTTAGAGTTTTTAAAACTAAATGATTAGTTATTCTCCATGTGTCTTTGTCTTTTATTTTCTGTGCCCTCAAATAGTGTGAAGGGTTTTTTTTCTTGAGTTGTATACTTGTTTTCTGCAAGGGAGCATCATTTTACCTCCTCACATTGCTATTGCCATAAGCCCTATTTCCTGTGGTTGATTTTTAATTTTAAATTTACTTTATTTTCTAAATATAAAGGTTATGTATTTTTTATTAAGTGAGCTTCAACAGTATTATATTTATCTTTCATAGACTTTGTTTCATCTGGGTTGTCAAAATTATTGACATGAAGTTGTTTTTAATGTTCTCATCTTTTTAATTTTATTTATTTTATTTTTATTTATTTATTTATTTATTTGAGACAGAGTCTTGCTCTTGTTGCCCAGGCTGTTGTGCAATGGCACGACCTTGGCTCATCGCAACCTCTGCCTCCAGGGTTCAAGCGATTCTCCTGCCTCAGCCTCCCAAGTAGCTGGGATTACAGGCATGTGCCACCACGCCTGGCTAATTTTGTATTTTTTGTAGAGATGGGGTTTCTCCATGTTGGCCAGGCTGGTCTCAAACTCCTGACCCCAGGTGATCCACCCACCTCAGCCTCCCAAAGTGCTGGGATTACAGGTGTGAGACACCGCACCCAGCCTCCTTATCTTTTTTTTTAGGTAACCATAGTTATTCATTTTAAACAGCCTCATTGAGGTATAATTGACATAAAATGTACACTACATGTTTAAATGCACATTGTATCCATCCCCATTAAGGGTTTTCTTGTGCCCCTTAGTAATCCCTCCCTGCTGTTGCCCCACGGTCATACCATTTGCAGACAATGACTTATGGGCTTTCCATGAATATAGATTAATTTGAATTTTCTAGAATTGTGCAAAAATTAAATCACATATACCCTTTTATCTCTGGCTTCTTCTAGAGAACATAGTTATCTTCAGATGTATCACCGGTAGTACCCATATCCATAGTTAATTTCTCTTATATTTTGAGTAGTATTGTATAGATACAGAACAGTGTGATTATACAATCACTTGTTGATGGACATTTGGGTTGTTTTTATATATTTTTTTACCATTACAAATAAGGCTGCTATGAATATTTTACTGTGGTTTTAACGTGCATGTCCTTAATGACTAATGATGCTGAACATCTTTCGATATGCTTATTTCCCATCCCTATATCCTCTCTGCTGACATACCTATTCAAATCTTTTGCTCATTTTTTTCATAGGGCTGTTGGTTTTCTTACTGATAAGTTTTGGGGATTCTTTCTATGTTTCAAATGTAAGTTCCTTATTAGATATATGTTTTGTAAATATTTTCCTCTCAGCCTATTGTTTATCTTTGAATTCACTTAGCAATATATTTTGAAGTACATAAGTTTTTAGTTTTGAATACGTTCAACTGACAATTTTTAAACTGAACTTTCCTTTTGATGTCATAACTAAAAAATATTTGCCTAAGCCAAGGTCATACTTATTTTCTCCTAGATATTCTATAGTTTTAAGTTTTGCATTTAGGTCTATAATTCATTCTGAATTAAATTTTATGTAGGATGTATAATATAAATCTAAATTATTTCTTTCATTTTTATGTATATCTAATTATTTGAGCACTGTTTGCTTAATAAACTATCTTTTCTCTACTGAATTGTCTTTGTGCCTCTGCTGAAAATCATTTGGTCATCTATGCGTGGGTCTATTTTTGAATTTTCTCTTCTGGTCCATTGTAATATTAGTCTACCTATATACCAGTAACATACTGTGTTGATTACTGTAGCTTAAGAATAAGCTTTGAAATAAATGTCTTCTTTTGAGAAGTGTCTGTTCATATCCTTCGCCCACTTGTTGATGGGGTCGTTTTTTTCTTGTAAATTTGTTGGAGTTCATTGTAGATTCTGGATATTAGCCCTTTGTCAGATGAGTAGATTGCAAAAATTTTCTCCCATTCTGTAGGTTGCCTGTTCACTCTGATGGTAGTTTCTTTTGCTGTGCAGAAGCTCTTTAGTTTAATTAGATCCCATTTGTCAATTTTGGCTTTTGTTGCCATTGCTTTTGGTGTTTTAGGCATGAAGTCCTTGCCCGTGCCTATGTCCTGAATGGTATTGCCTAGGTTTTCTTCTAAGGTTTTTATGGTTTTAGGTCTAACGTTTAAGTCTGTAATCCATCTTGAATTAATTTATGCAGCCAACAGACACATGAAAAAATGCTCATCATCACTGGCCATCAGAGAAATGCAAATCAAAACCACAATGAGATACCATCTCATGCCAGTTAGAATGGCAATCATTAAAAAGTCAGGAAACAACAGGTGCTGGAGAGGATGTGGAGAAATAGGAACACTTTTACACTGTTGGTGGGACTGTAAACTAGTTCAACCATTGTGGAAGCTAGTGCGGCGATTCCTCAGGGATCTAGAACTAGAAATACCATTTGACCCAGCCATCCCATTACTGGGTATATACCCAAAGGATTATAAATCATGCTGCTATAAAGACACATGCACACGTATGTTTATTGTGGCACTATTCACAATAGCAAAGACTTGGAACCAACCCAAATATCCAACAATGATAGACTGGATTGAGAAAATGTGGCACATATACACCATGGAATACTATACAGCCATAGAAAAGGGTGAGTTCATGTCCTTTGTGGGGACATGGATGAAGCTGGAAACCATCATTCTCAGCAAACTATTACAAGGACAAAAAACCAAACACTGCATGTTCTCACTCATAGATGGGAATTGAACAATGAGAACACTTGGACACAGGAAGGGGAACATCACACACTGGGGCCTGTTGTGGGGTGGGGGGATAGGGGAGGGATAGCATTAGGAGATATACCTAATGTTAAATGATGAGTTAATGGGTGCAGCACACCAGCATGGCACATGTATACCTATGTAACAAACCTGCACATTGTGCACATGTACCCTAGAACTTAAAGTGTAATAAAAATATATTTAAAAAAAGGAATAAGCTTTGAAATAAAGTAGGGTAAGTCCTAAAACCTTATTCTTTTTCAGAATTATTTTGGTTATTTGAGTTCCTTTGCATTTCCATACACATTTTAGATATGTTTATCAATTTTTCACAAAACAAATCCCTGCTGAAATTTTGATTGAGTTTACATTGAATCTATAGATCAGTATGTGGGAAACTGACAGCTAAACATTATTGAGTTTTCTGACGCATAAACATATATGTCTCCATTTATTTAGATAATTAGTTTCTCTGAACAAATTTTACACTTTTCAGTGTATAGATATTGTACATATTTCATTAAATTTAAGTATTTGATTTTTTTATTGTATCGTAAATGGCATTCAAACATTTCAGTTTTGATTGTTGCCCATATATGAAAATACAATTTATCTGGTATATTGATTTGTATCTTACAGCCTTGTTAACCTCAAGTTTTAGTTCTAGTAGCATTTCTGTACATTTCATCAGTTTCTACACGGGTAATCATGTTGACTGTGAATAAAGACTACTTCACTTCTTCCTTTCTAATCATAATTTCCTTTACTTATTTTTCTTGTGTTAATGTACTGAGTAGCACCGCCAGTTCAGAGTTGAATAGTGATAGTGAAAACTGTTCTTTTCATATCCTGGATATACAGGAAGTCATTCAGTCCTTGGCTAAGTAATATAATAGCTGTGGGTTTTTTAGAGATATGCTTTATCAGGTTAGGAACTTCTATTATTATTTTGCTGAGATTTTTCTTTAACTGAAAAAGATGTTGAATTTTTTTCAAATGTGTCTGTATCTACTAAGACGTTTATGTGGTTATTCTTCTTGGGTTTGTTAATGTAAACCTCCCTTGGTCATGATCTATTATGCTTTTATATAATGTGGAATTTTATTTGCTAACATCTTGCTTAAATTTTCATGTAAGTCCAAGTACATTTGTCTGTATCTTTTTCTTGTAATATATTTGCTTTTGGTATCAAGATAGTGTAGGTCTTATAATTAGTTTGGAACTATTTTTTTCTTTTCAATTTTCTGCAAGAGTTTACATAGAATTGGTATGGTTTCTTACTTAAATGTTTGTTAAAATTCATCACTGTGCTATCTATGCCAGGAGTTTTCATTGCAAGAATTATTTTTACTAAAATAATTTAATAGATATGGAACTATTCAGATTATCTATTTCTTCTTAGGTAATTTTTGTTAATTTGTCTCTTTCAAATAACTTGATAATTTTACTTATGTTGTCAGATTTCTTGTCATTAATTTGTTCATAATGTTCCCTTTTGTATTTCTTAATATCTGTGGAATCTGTAGTTATATCTACTCTCTCATTTATGATAAACAGTGATTTTTTTTTCCAAATCAATCTGGCTAAGGTATGTTAACTTCATGGATTTTTTTAAAAAAGCTAGTTTTTTATTTCATTGTTTATCAGATTTTCTGTTTTCTCTTACATTTATTTCCACTGCTGTCTTTATTGTTTCCTTTTTTTGCTTATTTTATTTTTAATTTACTCTTCTTTTTATATTTTCTCAGCTGAAAGTTGAAGTCCTCAACGTGAAACCTTTCTTATTTTGTTTTTTTTTTAAATTAATTTGAAGGAAGCAATAAGTGTAACTTGCCATAGAGGTATTATTAATAATGCATATATACATATAATGCTTATAAACATAATTTTAAATTTTATTATATATATGATGCCTATATATATGCTTATATATAATTATATATATATATAAAATTTCAACTTTTATTTTAGATTCAGGGGGTACATCTGCAAATTTGTTACATGGGAATATTGTGTGATGCTTAGCTTTGGGATACAAATGATCCTGTCACCCAGATAGTGAGCATAGGACGCAATGGGCAGTTTTTCAGCCCTTACCCTTCTCCCTGTCTCCCCTCTTTAGTAATCCCCAAGGTTTATTTTTCTCATCTTTATGTTCATATGTACTCAGAGTTTAGCTCCTATTTGTGAGAACATGCAGTATTTGGTTTTCTTTTCCTGCACTAATTCACTTAGAATAATGGCCTCCAGGTAAATCAGTGTTCCTACAAAAACCATAATTTTGTTCTTTTATATGGCTATGTAGTATTCCATGATGTATATGTACCACATTTTCTTTATTCAGTCCTCTGTTGATGGGCATCTAGGTTGACTCCATATCTTCGCTATTGTGAATAGTGCTGCAATAAACATATGAGTGCATGTGTCTTTTTGGTAGAGCAATATATTTTCCTTTGGGTATTTATTCAATAATGGGATTGTTGAGTTGAATGGTACTTCTGTTTTTAGCCCTTTGAGAAATCTCCAAACTGCTTTCCATAGTGGCTGAATTTATTTACATTCCCCCCAACAGTTTTAAGCATTCCTTTTTTTTTTCTGCAGCTTTGCCAGCATTTATTTATTTAGTTATTTAATTTTACTTTCCAACAGTAGCCATTTTGACTGGTGTGAGATGATATCTGTCTGTGGTTTTGATTTGCATTTGTCTGACGATTAGTTATGGGGAGCATTTTCGCGTGTGTTTGTTTGCCAGTTATATTTCTTCTTTTGAGAAACGTCTGTTCATGTTCTTTGCCCATTTTTTAATGGGGTTATTTGTTTTTTTTTGCCTGCTGAGTTGTTTAATTTCCTTACAGATTCTGGATATTAAATCTTTGTCAGATGTATAGCTTGCAAATATTTTCTTGAATTCTGTAGGTTCTCTGTTTACTTTGTTGATGGTTTCTGTTGCTGTACAGAAGCACTTTTGTTTAAGTACCACATATCAATTTGTGTTATATTGAAATTGCTTTTGAGGACTTAGCCATAAATTCTTTGCCAAGGCTGATGCTGATAAGGATATTTCCTAGAGTTTCTTGTAGTATTTTTTAGTTTGAGGTCTTACGTTTAAATATTTAATCCATCTTGAGCTAATTTTTGTATATAGCAAAATGCAGGGGTCCAGTTTCATTCTTCTGCATATGGCTTCCCAGTTATCCAAGCACCATTTTTTCTTTTACATTAATGTACATTTAGAACTATGAATTTACCCAACATATTGCTTTAACAACGTCCCACAAATTTTGATTGACTGTGTTTTTATTTTGATTAACTTTAAAATAACTTTTGATTTTTTCTGTTACTTCTTTGTCCTACAGATTATTTAAATGTTTGTTTTCAAAATGTTTGGAAGATTTTCCAAAAATCTTTACATTATTGATATCTAGTTTTTTTGCATTGGATCAAAAAATATACTATATATGACTTGAGTCTGTTTTAATCTCTTAAGGCTTGGTTTATGACCCAGAAGCTGGTGTATGTTGATGGATATCTTTTGTGCACTTGAGAAGATTGTAAATTCTCCTGTTGGGTTAACTGTTCTATAAATATCAGCTAGACCAGTTGGATGACTGTGCCACTCAAATTTTCTATATTCTTATTTTTCTTTCTGTTTACTTTCTGTGTAATTTGATCTTTTTCTAATTTCTCAGTGTGAAAGATTAAATAACTGATTTTAAAACTTTCTTTTTTTGGTAAAGATTTACTGCTCTACATTTTTATCTAAGCACTGCCTTAGCAGACTAAAACAAATTTTGCGTTATTTTGTTCTCATTTTCATTAGTTCAATATAACTTGTAGTTTTTCTTGTGGTTTGTTATTTGGGCTATGGGTTATTTTGTGGTATATTGTTTAATTTTAAAATACTTGCTTATTTTCTAGGTTTCTTTTTTTCTAATTTAATTTCATTTTGGACAAAAACATATTAATGCTACATGTCATTTCTTTCCATTTTTTTAACCTCATTAATCACCACATAAATTAATGAGGTTGATAATCATTCCAATCTTCTGTATCATTACTAATATTCTGTTCGTTTATTCTCTCAACTCTTACAAGAAGGGTCTTGCAGTTTTCAACTAGAATTGTGGTTTGTCCTTTCTTCCCAGTTCTCAAAGTTTTTGCTTCTATTTATTCCAAAGATCTTTTAATCAGTGCATATACATTTTGGGTTGTTATAGCATCTTTTTAAATTTAATCTTTTATCTTTATTAAATTAGTCTCTTTAGATTTGGAACTAACCCAAATGCCATCAATGATAGACTGGATAAAGAAAATGTGGCATATATACACCATGGAACACTATGCAGCCATGAAAAAGAATGAGTTCATGTCATTTGCAGGGGCATGGATGAAGCTGGAAGCCATCATTCTCAGCAAACTAACACAGGAACAGAAAACCAAACACCATATGTTCTCACTCATAAGTGGGAGTTGAACAATGAAAACACGTGGACACAGGGAAGGAAATGTTGCATACTGGGGCCTGTCATTCGGTGTGGGGCAAGGTGAGGGAGAGCGTTAGGAGAAATATCTGATGCATGTGGGGCTTAAAACCTAGATGACAGGTTGATGGGTGCAGCAAACCACCATGGGACATATATACTGATGTGACAAACCTGCACGTTCTGCACATGTATCCCAGAACTTAAAGTAAAATTAAAAAAAAAAAAAAAGTATTTTTAGTCATTGGTAATGTACCTTGCTGAAATCCACTTTGATGCATTATAGTTTTTTCAGCTTTCCTTAGAATAGTGTTTGCATATATAATTTTTTCTTCATTTTACTTTTACTCTATTATCTTTTTATTTAAAATAAGCTTTTTCGTCAGCATATAATTGAGTCTTGCTTTTAAATATTATAATCTTTGCCTTTTATTTATAGTGATATGCCATTTAAATTTAATGTGACTATTGCTGGGCACGGTGGCTCACGCATGTAATCCCAGCACTTTGGCAGGCTGAGGCGGGCGGATCACTAGAGGTCAGGAGTTCGAGAGCAGCCTGGCCACATGGTGGAACACCGTCCCTACCAAAAATACAAAAATTAGCCGGGTGTGGTGGCGGGTGCACGTAATCCCTGCTACTCAGGAGGCCGAGGCAGGATAATTGCTTGACCCAGGCAGGTGGAGTTTGGGGTGAGCTGAGATCGCGCCATTGCACTCTAGCCTGGGCAGCAAAGTGAGACTCTGTATCAAAAATTAATTAATTAATTAATGTGACTACCAATATAATTTCTATTTGTTTTCTATGTGTCCCGCCTACTTTTTTCCCTCCCCGTTTTACTTTTCTCTGCTTTGTTTTATGTTGAATATTGGTATTAGTGAATATTCTCTTCTTTATTGGCTAGTAAGCTCTACCTCTTTTTAAAGTGTGTACTTGAGAATTTGCAATGTATCTCTTTAATTTATGAAATTCTGTCTTCAATTAATATTCCACTTCTCAAATAGTAAATAAAAACTTATATACTTTATTTCCCTTCTCTTAGCCTTTGTGCGACTGTTATCATGCATTTTATTTTCCCATGTGTTATAATTCCACAGTATATTATAACTAAATTAATAATCAAAACACCATGTTAATGACTGATATTAATTTTGTGGAAAAGAGATAGTAAGAGGAAATTTTGCAAAGATCACCCTTCCTTAATTATTAAGGTTCAAAAGAGAAAATGTGTGATGTTTTGACAGTCAGGAAAGATCTAATTTCTCCCAAAGGAAAATCTAATTCTCGTTGAAAAGGAAATCTTCAAGAATGAAGTTTTGCAAGAAAATCTTTCTTAACTGGCAAAACATGAAAGACCATTCAACTGTTAGGAGCATAATATAATTTAACAATGGATCAATAATCTCATATTTAAAAAGAAAAGAATAAAAAATGAAAGTATGTATCACCGAAGGAAATGAAATGCACTTTGCCTATTCATACAATAGGAATAGTCTTGAGGGATGGTAAGCAAAGAAGACAGGGCTCATTGTAAGATTAGCCCATTTCTCCTCATGTGTTTTTATGTCTTGGCTCATTTTCTTTCTTTCTTTTGTTTTGTTTTGTTTTGTTTTGTTTTGAGACGGACTCTTGCTCTGTCGCCCAGGCTGGAGTGCAGTGGCGCCATCTCAGCTCACTGCAAACTTGGCCTCCCAGGTTCAAGCAACTCTCCTGCCTCAGCTATAGGCACGGGCCACCATGCCTCGCTAATTTTGGTAATTTTAGTAGAGACAGGTTTTACTATGTTGGCCAGGCTCGTCTCCAACTCCTGACCTCAAGTTATCCACCCACCTTGGCCTCCCAAAGTGCTGGGATTACAGGCGTGAGTCACTGGGCCCGGCTGCTTTTCTTTTTGAAAAAATAAACTAAATTATTCTCTATGGTTAAAAAAAGTATAGTGCAAGATTCCATGTTGTTATGTCATAAACAGAAAATGCTAGGATAGTACTTTCAGTAACGTAAAACAAATTATATCACAGTGGAGGTTAGGACAAAGCATCCAATATGTGTATTGATTTGATTACCAGGCTATTGTTCAATTGTTAGCAAAATGATGTTATAATTGCGACTTTAAGTAAATTCATTTGCAACAGAGTTACTTTGCCTCTTCTTGCATCAATAGTTTTAATTAAACTTGTTGTTATTAAGGGTAATTAAAGCCAATATATTTCCACTTTAACTTACAAATACAAGTTTAAAATGAAGGTAAATGAGGGAAGATACAGAGAAACAGAATGTATGTTTTCTTTATGAAATACTACAGCTCATTTAGTATCCTAAATTTCTCCAGCAGGCAATAAAATCCCACACTTAGCTTTGTCCCAAAGCAAAAATTGCATCATTAATCAGAAATTACTGCATCACTTATGGTTCTCAGGTATGTAATACCAATACTGTTGTTTGCATTTCTGAAGTTGTTTCAAAATAAAATAATACTTTTTCTCTGTCAAGTAAGACCTCATTTAAAAATAATGAAATTATTTTTATTGAGGAGAAACGTGTATTTAGACCATGCTTCAGAAACAGTGGTAATGCATTTAGGATGAGGAGAAAACATACTATTACAGTAATGATCTTCTAGATCATTTAATTAGTTATTTTATAATTATTTCATGAGAATTCATTTTGGTATATTGAGTGAGGCAGGGTCATAATTTTATTTTTCATTTTTATTTAATCAATTTTCCAAGAACCATTTTGTTGAATAAATATCTCCCTATGCATATGGAATGCTTAATTTATTATACCATAAGTGTTTGCATTTATCTTAGTGTGATCCTGTGTTTTATATTCTATTGACTTATTTTTTTCAGTATCAAACTGTTCAATTGAGTTTTGAGTTCTATAATTTAGTTTCATTCAGTGTTTTTGTTTGTTACAACCACTTTTTAAAATTTTCATATTCATATTTATTTTCAACTTGTATTTGAGCTTTTAGTTTGTTGAATTAATTAAAAGGTGATTTACTTTTAAAATCTATATTTATCTTACTACTAAAAAGTTGTATGTTTTCTCATATTTTATTGTGCACTTAGAATTTAATGATTGTGAATAGCCTATATTCATGCTGTAATATTTTTTCTGTTGGTCTTTCCTTATGTCCTTTTTCTTTCTTTGTCTTTTTATGGGTAGTTAATTTAATTGAGGTATAACTTACTGTATTAGGGTTCTCCAGATGGACAGAACCAGTATGATACATTTATATACGAAAGGGAGTTTATTAGGGAGAATTGACAAACAGGATTACAAGGCAAAGTACCAGGATAGGCCTCCTGCAAGCTGGGGAAGAGAGAAGCTGGTAGAAGTCCAAGTCCAAAAGCCTCAAAACCAGGGAAGCTGAGAGAGTGCAGCCTTCAGTCTGTGGTTGAAGGCCCAAGAGCCCCCAGCAAGCCACTGGTACAAGTCCCAGAGTCCAAAGGCCAAAGATGTCCACGGGCAGGAGAAGCAGAAGCATCCAGCCTGGGAAAAAGAAGGAAGAAGACCCAGCAAGCGAGGTTATCCGGCTGCCTTCTTCCTGCTTTGTTCTAGTCAGCTGGCAGCCAGTTGCATGGTGCTCACCGACATGGAGGATGAGTCTTCCTCTACCAGTCCACTGACTCAAATGTCGATCTCCTCTGGCAACACCCTCACAGACACACCCAGAAACAATACTTTACCAGCCATCTAACGTCCTTCAATCCAATCAAGTTAATACCTAATATTAATCATCACACTTATCTTCACTACAAGTTGGCCTTTTTGTGAACAGTACTATTTGTTTTGACAAATGCATGCAATCTTGTAACTACTACATAAACCAAGATATAGAACCAATGTGTCACCCTCCAAATTTCCTTTTGTACCCACTTTATAGTTTAATTTCTCCCCACCCCCATCTCAACTGCTGGCAATCACTGATCTGTTCTCTATATTTTTGTCTTTTTGAGATGTTCTAGTATGAAATGTTACAGTGGTCTTTTGAATATGGCTTCCTTATCTCAGCATAATGCATTTGAAATTTATTCATGTTGTTATATGTATCTCTAAATCTTCAGCAGTACTTGTTATCATCTGTCTTTAGGTTACAGCAACCCAGGTAGGATAACATCTGGTCTTGATTTGCATTTCCCTAATGTAATAATGTTGAGTATCTTTTCATCAGCTTGTTGGCCACTTGTATATCTTTCCTTAGAGAAATGTCTATTTAAAGCTTTTGTCTATTTTTAAAATTGTTTTTATTGGCCCAGCTTAGCATCATAAATATTTATTTGTTTCTTCTAAGAGTTTTTCTAGATTTTGCTCTTTAATTTAGGTGGATGATCCATATTGAGTTAATTTCTGTGTGAGGTGTATGTTTTGAGTCCAAATTCATCATTTTGCATATAGATAGCCAATTCTTCCAGCACCAGTTTTTTGAAAAGACTACCCTTTTTCCATTTAATTGCTTTGGCACCTTTGCATTACCATATGAATTTTACAATCAGCTTTGTTATAAATTTCAGCCAAAAAAATGCAGTTGAAATTTTTAATAGCGATATCATTAAATATGTAGATCAATTTGGGGAGTATTATAGTAACAATATTAAGCCATTTTTCTTCAGTGGGAAAAATGTACTGTTTAGCATTTCTTATAGGTCAGCTTTGATGGAATAAATTTTCTTTATTTTTTGTTAAAATGTATTCATCGTACTTCTTTTCTTGAAGGATATTTTTGAGCTGTCTTCTTTCAGCAGCTTAAAGATGTTTTTCACTCTCATGTGGCCTCCAGGGTTTCTGATTCAAAGTGAACTATTAACTGGATCACTTGTTCTGCTCTAAGTAATGTGTCATTTTTCTCTTGCTGCTTTCAGAATTTTCACCTTTTCTTTGAATTTTAAGTTTCAACATGATGTGACTCAGCATGCTTTTCTTGAGAATTTATTTTGCTTGGTGTGCATTGAATATCTTGTAGTAAATAATTTTCTGCCTTTCATCATTATATTTTGGAAGTTTTTAGCCACTATTTCTTCATTTTTTTTCTGATTCATTCTGTTTCTCCTCTCTTCCAGGGATTCCAATTATAAGTACGTTAGGCTGTTTTATATTATCCAACAGATCCTTCATAATCTGTTCTATTTGTGTGTGTGTGTGTGTGTGTTTCTCTGTATATCCTGTACATTGGATAATTTCTATATATTTATTTCCAAGTTCTCATTATTTTTTCATATCCACTTTACTGTTAAATTCATCTAGTGACTTTTATATTTAAAATATATTTTCCAGTTCAAGAATTTGCATTTTTTATTGTTTCCATTTATCTCCTGAGATTTTTATAATTTCATTTATTTTGAATAGACTTTGATTTATTTCATTTAGGTTCGTTAAAAGGACCACTTTTAAAATATTATGAGCTATTTCTAAAATCTGTTTCATCTCAGGGTCAGACTTGATTGATTTTCCTTCTTTTGAGGTTTTCCACTGGTTCCACTGGTTATTTTGGAAGAATCATGGATATTATAAATACTAATTTGTGAATATTCTGAATTCTGTTATTAACCTGATGAGTTTCTCTATTTGTTTTTATGCTGGTAATTATCTTGACTGAACTTGCACTATAAACTTTGTTTATTGGACATCTCTGTCTCAGTTCGGATCGTTATCTTTTGATTTTGTCTTTGTTTCTGTTCTGCATATGTGTGTTTCAGAGGTCACACAGAGATGCTGGTATACATAATTTTGAGATATTTTCCTTTTGGTATTCTGTGTCGTTGTTGTATTTTTTTCAGCAGCCATGATTTCCTTAGATTCAGTTCTGTATTTTTGTTGGTCAAAAAGATTCTGTTCCTCTAGTGATGACTTCAGCCATATACACAGAGGAGAAAGATTTCTGTTTTTTTTTTCCCAACTTCTGGAATTATCTGTCACTTAACATTTGTCAGAATTTCTCTCTAACTCCACCTGAGTCCTTTTCACATTCCTCCATGCTTATTGACTTGTTCAGGTGTCTCATTGTTGAAGTAATTTTGGCAATATTGTCTTTATATATAATTGTCTATGTTCCCAAGATTTTCAATTTCAGTTTTTATAAAATTTTACACAAATACATCCTGATGAACAAACACCTATTTTATATCTGTGCCTATTTCTTCCTCCATTCCAATTTTGTGTATCTACATACCCTATAATTTTCTTGAATAGACTGGCTAGAGCAGTGGTTATAAATCAATGGTGTGAGAAACAAAAATACTATTTAATTTATAATTTCAATGATTCACTTTCAAAGCACATATCTGTATGAGCAAGTTGTTAGTACTTAATACAAATTGCCCATTTATAACTTCCTGGTGCAGGGTGTTTTAATATCTAAATAATTATGGGTTAGACATCTAATAAATATAAAATTCTTAGTGCCTGAAAAATAGCAAATATCCAATAGATAATATTAGATCCGTGACCACAACAATGCTACCTCAGTTAAAATTTCCAACGGCCCTAAGGTAAATTTTAACCCTATTTTATAGAAGTAAGTTTCAAAGCTCAGAAATATCAGGGAATGTTACGGAATTATTTAGTAGGCTGCAGTCCTGGATTTTGAAACTAGGTTGTTTTAACCATTACTCTGTCTTGTTGGTGTGGTACAGTTGGTTTTATTATGCCTCATTATTATGACACCCCTTTGCCTTGTTATATGTGCTAGGTTCTATCATGGGAAACCAAGAAGGTGGCAAATTATCAGGCTTTGGATCTTACAGGCCACAGAGGAGGTAAACACATTCACAAATTTCTAAAACACAAGTGAGAATACAGTAAGTCCTGTGAGAGTCCCAGAAAAAGTGGCATGGATTTCAGAGAAGCAACAAAGTACTCCTGGTAGACAGAATCAAGGAAGGCCTCATGTAGGAGGAGTATTTCAGTCGGGGCCTAAAGGTTACTTTGAATTTAGACATTGAAAGAAGGGATACAGGTATAATTCCATGCAAATAAACAACATGAACCATGGCAGAAAAGGAGCTTGTGTGAAGAACAGTGAGTTTTGTTCCTCTATTTTGTCAGATGCACAAGCTGAAATAAGAAGGGAGAAGGCTTGGAAGAGATATATAAATAAAATGCTAAAATCCCTTATGTAACAGATGAATGAGTTTTGGTTTTATTTAGTAGCAAATGTGGAGACAGTTGTAGGTTTTGATCAGAAAAGTGACATGATGTGATTTATCTTTTTTATATTGTATTGGTGTCATGTATTGATTTATAAGAGCTGCTTGATTGCAAATGTGTTAATATTATTTGTATTGCAAATATTTCCACAAATATTCCTATGTCCATTTGACCTTATTTGCTTTTTAGCTTTCAGTCATTTTTAAAAATAATAATTCTTAGATGATTTCTACTTTAATATTGTATTACATAAAAACCAATACTGGCATACCTCAGGAATGTTGAGGATTTGGTTCCAGATCACTGCAGTAGGAGTGAATATCACAATAAAGAAAGACAAATTTCTGTGATTCCCAGTGCATATAAAAGTCATGTTCACACTATACTGTAGTCTAATAAGTGTGCAAATGGATAATGTATAAGAAAAGTGCATACCTTAATTTAAAAATACTCTATTGCTAAAAAAAAAATATGCTAATGATCATTTGAGCCTTCAACAAGTTATAGTATTTTTGCTGGTGGAAGGTCTTCCCTCAGTGTTGATGGCTGCTGACTAATCAGGGTGATGGTTGCTGAAGGTTGGGATGGCTGTGGAAATTTCTTAAACTATGACAACAATGAAGATTGCCACATCAATTGACCCTTTGTTTAAACAAAAGATTTCTGTTGATGTTGATACTTTGACCTCCTCCCATGTATCATGAATGTTCCTGATGTCATCTAAAATAGTGAATTTTTTTGAAAAGGGTTTTAATTGTTTTTGCTAAGATCCATCAAAGGAATCACTGTCTATGGCAGCTATAGCCTTACAAAATATATTTCTTAAATAAGACAAACTGAAAGTTGAAATTACTCTTTGATCTATGGGCTGCAGAATGAGTGTTGAGTTAGGAGGCATAAAAGCAGCATTCATCTCCATCAGAGTTCTTGGGTTTATTGTCAGTGGGCAGTAGTATTTTAAAATAAATCCCTTTTTAATTCTGAAATTGAAAAAATATATAAAAATCAATAAAACAAAGAAAAATGGTGTTTGAAAATACCAACAAAATTGACCAAACTTTAGCCAGATTAAGAATAAAGAGAGAAGACCAAAATAAATAAAATCAAAGATGAAAAAGGAGACATGAGAATTGACATTATAGAAAGTCAAAAAATCATTAGAGATGACTATGAGCAACTATATGCCAATGCATTGAAAACCTAGAAGAAATTGATAAATTCCTAGACACATAAAACCTGCCAAGACTGAACCAAGAAGAAATTCAAAACCTGAATACACCAATAACAAGTAGTGAGATTGAAGCTGTAATAAAAATGTCTTTGAGCAAAGAAAAGCCTGCGACCTAATGATTTCACTGCTGAATTCTACCAAACATTTAAAGAAAATACCAATCCTACTCAAACTATTGTGAAAAATGGAGGAGGGAATACTTCCAAACTCATTCTATGAAGCTAGTAATATTCAGATACCAAACCAGACAAAGATACATTAATAAAAAAAACAACTACAGGCCAATATCCCGGATAAATATTTATGCAAAAATTCTCAACAAAACACTAGCAAACCAAATTCAACAATACATTAAAAACATCATTCATCATGATCAAGTGGGATTTATCCCAGGAATGCAGAAAGAGTCAACATACACAAAACAATCAATGTGATACATCTTAACAGAATAAAGTACAAAAGTCAAATGATCATTTCAATTGATGCTGAAAAAAGGATTTGATAAAGTTTAACATCTCTTCGTGATAAAACATCCTCAAAAAAAAAAATAAGGTGTAGAATGAACGTACCTCAAAATAGTAAAAGCTATATATGACAGACCCACAGCTAGTATCATGTTGAATTTAGAAAAACTGAAAGCCTTTCCTCTAAGATCTGGAACTTAACAAGAATGCCTACTTCAACCACTGTTATTCAACATTGTATTGGAAGTCTTAGCTAGAGCAATCAGAAAAGGGAAAGAATTAATGACATCCACGTTGGAAAGAAAAAAGCCAAACTATCCTTGTTTGCACATAATACGATCTTATATTAGGAAAAACCTAAAGACTCCACCAAAAAACTGTTAGAAGTGCTAAACAAATTCAGTAAAGTTGCAGGATATAAATTCAACATGCTAAGCTGAGTAGTGTTTCTATATGCCAACAGCAAACATTCTGAAAAAGAAATCAATTAAGTAATGACATTTACAAAAGCTATAAATAAAGATAGGAATAAACTTAACCAAAAAAGTAAAAAGCGTCTACAATGAAAACTATAAAACATTGACATGTACAAAATTGAAGAGAGGACACAAAAAAATAGAACGTTATTCTATGCTTGAATTGGAAGACTCAACATTGTTAAAAATGTCCATACTACCTAAAGCAGTCTACAAATTCAATACAATTTCTATCAATCAAAATAACAACGATATTTCTCACAGCAATAGAAAAAATAATCCTAAAATTTATATGGAACCACAAAAGACCCAAAATAGACAAAGCCACCCTAAGCAAAAAGAAAAAAAACTAGGCTCATGCCTATAATCCCAGCAATTTGGGAGGCCGAGGCTAGCTGGATCACCTGAGGTCGGGTGTTCGAGACCAGCCTGGCCAACATGGTGAAACCCCATCTCTGCTAAAAATACAAAAATTAGCTGGGCATGGTGGCATATGCCTGTAATTCCAGCTACTTGGGAGGCTGAGGCAAGAGAATGGCTTGAACCTGGAAGGCGGAGGTTGCAGTGAGCCGAGATTCCGCCACTGCACTCCAGCCTGGGCAACAGAGTGAGACTCTTTCTCAAAAAATGAATGAAACTGGAGGAGTCACAGTGACTTCATATTACACTGCAGAGCTACAATAACCAAACAGCATGGTACTGGCATAAAAACAGACCCATAGCCCAGTGGAACATAAAAGAGAACCTAGAACCATATTCACACATCTACAGTAAACTCATTCTCAACGAAGATGCCAAGAACCTACACTGGGGAAAAGATACTTTCTTCAATAAATGGTGCTGGGAAAACTGGATATCCATATTCAGTAGTATGAAGCTATACCTATTTGGGGTAAGACCATAGAGTAAAATGAAAGCAAGTTTACTTAAGAAGTAAAGAAGCAAAAGAATGGCTGCTCTGTAGACAGAGCAGCAGCATGGGCTTCTTGACTGAGTATACTTATAGTTATTTCTTGGTCATACATTAAAGAGTGGATTATTCATGAGTTTTCTGGGAAAGGGGCAGGCAATTCCCAGAACTGAGGGTTCCTCCCCCTTTTAGACCGTACAGAATAACTTCCTGATGTTGCTGTGGCATTTTAAACTCTGGTGGTGCTGATGGGAGTGTGTTTTAGCATGCTAATGCATTATAATTAGCATATAATGTGCAGTGAGGACGGCCAGAGGTCACTTTCATTACTATGTTGGATTTGATGGGTTTTGGCTGGCTTCTTTACTACATCCTATCAGCTGGGTCTTTATGACCTGTATCTTGTAATATAGTCCTGTGGACCTCCTATCTCATCCTGTGACTATGAATGCCTAATCTCCTGGGAATGTGGTGCAGAAGGTCTTAGTCTTAATTTACGCAGCCCCTTTCAAGATGTAGTCACTATGCTTCGAATGTCTCTGACACTGTGGGTGTCAAAAGAAAATCTTTAGACAAATTAAACAGAATTGAATTGCACAAAGAATGATTAGTGAGTCAGGCAGCCCTTAGACCAGAGTAGATTCAGAGAGACTCCAGAGCTGCCATGTGGCCAGAGAGGATTTAAGGAGAGAAAAAGAAAAGTACAGAAAATGGAAGCTAAGTACAGAAACAGCTGGATTGGTTACAGTGTGGTGTTTGCCTTATTTGAACATGGTTTGAACAGTTGGCCACCCTTGATTGGCTGAAACTCAGTGATTAGCACAACAGTAGTTTACAGTCTATTTATATACCCAGTTAGGTTACAGTTTAGTATGTACAGAGAAACCTTTAGGCTGAACTTAAAACATGGAAAAGGCGGCTCTATACTAAACTTAATTAGATGAGGATGACATCTCAGAGCTGTTCTACTGGAGCAGGGGAGCAGGGGTACTTATATTTCTACACCATGCTGTCATTAGCCTAGGGATATATGTGAGGAATGTAAATTCCCAGGTACCTCTTGATCTTCTTGGGTGTGGTCAGGGATCCCAGCAGCCTGAGGGGATTCCTCCAACAAAGAGTGCACCAACCGTAGTGCTGGCTTTTGGAAGTTAAAACACACCAGGAGCCTGTGTGCATGAGAATGGCAAAGGGATCCAAAGGAATGTGGACAGAAGACTGACAGAGTCTGGTGTAGGACTCCAAATTCCAAGTTTATTTCCTGAATTAATTTTTAGCTTGAGATGAGATAATAGGTGAAGTTGTTACTGGTGGAACATATCCTGGTTACTGGTGGCAAATCCATACGAGTCTGCAGCAACCTCAATTCTTCCTCAATTGTTGCCTCCTTATACCCCTCAAGTGAGGGGCATAAGGCAGAAAAAGAGACTGAAGCAAGTTGCAGAACCGAAGGGGAAGTTTATTTAAAAAGGTTTTTAGAACAGGAAAGAACGCTTAGAAGAGACCGAAGTAGGCAGGTGAAGGTCAAGTGTGGTGTTTAACCTTGATCCTAGGACTTCATGGGCTGGCCCCTCTCCCATGATTCTTTCCTTAGGATGGACTGGCTGCATGTGCAGTGCCCCTGTTACCCTTGGGAAGTGAGCACATGCAGTGTGTTTAGGAAGTTGTATGCATGCCCATTGGAATCTTTCTTCCCTTTTCCGGTAGTGTGTCCCTGGAAGGTCATATGCGGCCATTTTGTCTCTCAATCCACATGCCCAGGAATTTGCATCTCCCTGGCATCTGCGTTCAGTTAACACTTTAGTGCAACAGGTGTGGACCATCAGGAAATGGCCTCTCCCTCACACTGGCTGACAATTTATCACTTTCAGAGAGTCAATGTGATAATTGTGGAACCATCATCACACAACATTCCTTGTGAGTGGGGGGAAGAGCCCTCTCCTGCAGTGCTCATGGCTGTGTAACTACCTGTAACAAAGTCATTATCTGTGAATCAAAATATTTTAAGACCTTAACAAATATTTATTGAATACCTTCCATGTCAAGCATAGCTATTCATGCAAGGGATAAAACACCACCAAGACAAAAATCTCTGCTCTGATAAGATACAGTCACATGATAACAACCCTAAATAAAAGAAGCACTTAGGATGAATGCCAATGATTAGCTTGCACTACTACCCAATATATTTGGTCTTCAAACCTTTCCATTTTTTTTTTGTTTGTTTTATTTGTTTGTACTGGAAATTGTAGCACTTTCCTTGGTGAGAGGTTTTGAGGTTATTCCTGGCTGACCTCCTTTTCTCAAGAGTGATTAACCCTAGGTAATAGAAAAGCGTGCAGCAGTCTCCCCAGCTTCTACCCTAGCTTGTGGTAGCTACCAGCTGTGAGTCAGCCTTAACTCCCATCACTGTTCTTGGTAGTGGAGCTCATGAGCACCAGTGCACAGCTATCCTTTTCTCTCAGCAGTAATTCTCACCTACTTAAGGATGTCACTCCTGCTGTTATATCCTTTTTTTTCTCATGCATCAATGTAACAATTGGTACTGGATCATTTCCATCATGCCCACGTGAGGGCTTTTGAATTTACTATTCCTTCTGCTTGTTATACTCTTCCCCTGTTGTGTATATATATATATATATATATATATATATACACACACATATATATATGTGTGTATGTATATATGTGTATATGTGTATGTGTATATGTGTGTATATATGTGTATATATGTGTGTATATATGTGCATGTATATGTCTGTATATATATAATTTCTATAGTTTTTGGGTACAGGTGGTTTTTGGTTACATGGATGAGTTCTTTAGTGGTAAATTGTGAGATTTGAGTGCACCCATCACCCGAGCAGTGTACACTGTACCCAACATGTCATCTTTTGTCTCTCACCCCTCTCCTAACCTTCCCCACTGAGTCTCCAAAGTCCATCATATTACTCTCTAGGACTTTCTGTCCTCATAGCCTAGCTCCCACTTATGAGATCATACAGTATTTGGCTTTCCATTCCGAGATACTTCTTTTAGCATGATGGCCTCCAGTGTTCTCCTGTTTTTTTGCACTGTAGCATAGTGGTGTTACTAGAAAGGGGTCCCGATACAGACCCCAGGAGAGGGTTCTTAGATCTCACGCAAGAAAGAATTTGAGGTGAATCTATAGAGTAAAGTGAAAGCAAGTTTATTAAGAAAGTAAAGGAGTGAAAGAATGTCTACTTCATTGGCAGCAGCATGGGCTGCTCAGCTGCTTATACTTATTGTTACTTCTTGATTATATGCTAAACAAGGGGTGGATTATTCATGAGTTTTTTGGGAAAGGGGTGGGCAATTCCCAGAACTGAGAGTTCCTCCCCTTTTTAGACCATATAGAATAATTTCCTGATGTTGCCATGGCATTTGTAAACTGTCGTGGCACTGGTGGGAGTGTCTTTTAGCATGCTAATGCATTATAATTAGCACATAATGAGCAGTGAGGACAAGCAGAGGTCACTCTCATTGCTGTCTTGGTTTTGGTAGGTTTTGGCTGGCAACGTGTTTGTGACCTGTATCTTGTGCAGACCTCCTATCTCATTCGGAGACTAAGAATGCCTTACCTTCCTGGGAATGAAGCCCAGTAGGTCTCAGCCTTATTTTACCCACCTCCTATTCAAAATGAAGTCATTCTGGTTCAAATGCCTCTGCCAGTGGTGGAGAACACCAGGTTTTGAAATAAAAATATTGCATTTGAATCCTGTCTCTGCCTCCTAACTTTGTCAGGTTACTTAATTTCTTGGTGCCTCAATTTCCTCATACGTAATATGTGGATAATGATAACACTTTGTAGGGATGTTATAAGATTAAATAAGTTAATGCATGTGAAGTGCTTAAAAATATGCCTAACACTAGTAGGTACTCAAAAGTTAGGTAAAATTAACTCAGATATCATCTCCATAACCCTGGTACTTTGCTTAAATAACCATCCAATCATTGTAAATCACATTATCCTGCATATTTCAATCAAAGTATTACGTATCATAATCTGTAATTGACTTGCTTGTCGATCTCTTCACCCCATCACATACCCTCCAAAAACATATACAAAAAAATGACCTTCAAGAGCTCAAATACTTTGTCTAGTTTAACCAGTGCTGTATCCCTCAGATATAGAATAGCACCTGGCACATAGCAGGTGTTAAATAAACATTTGCTCAGCCAGTAAATGTTAAATAAATCACTGATTTTTTTTAAAGATAGCTGGGGCCAGGTGTGGTGGCTCATGCCTGTAATCCCAACACTTTGGGAGGCCGAGTTGGGTGGATCACCTGAGGTCAGGAGTTCGAGACCAGCCTGACCAATATGGTGAATCCCCATCTCTACTAAAAAATACAGAAATTAACTGGGGCGTGGTGGTGTTTACCTGTAACCCAAGCTACTCAGAAGGCTGAGACAGGAGAATTGCTTGAACTCAGGAGGCGGGGAGGTTGCAGTGAACCAAGACCGTGCCACTGCACTCTAGGCTGGGCGACAGAGCGAGACTCCATCTCAAACAAAAAAAAAAAAAAAAAAAAAAAAGGTGAGTCCTCTAGCGGTGGCAACAATGATGCATAGCCCTTTCTTTAAACAAATTTTATTGCATATATTTAAGGTATGTATGCAACGTAATACAAGATATATATATATATATGTACACATATATATGTGTACATATATATATACACACATATATATATGTATATATATCTTGTATTCCCACAATGATAGCAGCTAAATTCAAGGTGTAAACATCTTAAATACAATACACTGTTATTAACTATAATCCTCATGTTGTACATTAGATCTTTGGACTTGCTCATACATATTTGCTACTTTGCACCCTTTGACCTACATCTCCCTATTTCCTCTCCTTACTCCTGACTCTGATAATCACTGTTTTATTTTTTATCTCTATATTTGACCTTTTTAATTTTGCATATAAGTGAGATAATTTTCTTTCTCTGGCTTATTCTACTTAGCATAATGTCTTTTAGGTCTATCCATGTTGTGGCAAATGGCAGGATTTCCTCTTTTTTTTTAAGGCTGAATAATATTCCATTGTGTGTATGTGTGTATATATGTGTGTGTGTGTGTGTGTATACATATATCTATGTCTATAGAGACAACGCTGTTTCTTTATTCATCCATTGATGGACATCTACATTGTTTTCTATATTTTGGCTATTGTGGATAATGCTGCAATGAACATAGAAGGATGCATAGCCCTTCTGAAATATAGCTTCTTCAATAAACTTGTCAGTTAATTTATCTGGGTTGTTTGCGTTTACCTACTTTCCAAAAGAATTTGGCCTTACAGAGAAAAACTCGGATAAATTTAAAACAAGGGAAAAATAAAGAAACAAAACGAACACGAATCACATATAACTGAAGGTTACATTTAGCTGTTAATGCACAAAAGTGGTGGTGACAGGAAAGGGCACCATATAGGTGTTTTGTAAACGTTACACCATGTTATTGCCACAATAAACTTCTTAAATAGATTATTATCCCTGCTTTACAGTGAGGATATTGACAGCTAGACAAAAAGAAGTATTTTTATAACCACAAGTGATTAAAATGAACCATGCCAATTGGTTATAAAAGGTGGATTTTCTTTGGTTTCTGTACGAGACATTGGAGAGATGAATACTTATATAGAAGGCAGTGAACAGCACATTACATACTGGTCATCGATGAAAAAAAATTAGGGTAAAACAGTTATAAATAATGAAAATGTTCTAAAAGGAAGTAAAATACAATAATCAAGATACAGAGCTCTTGATTACATGATTTCGCATAAGAATAGAGATTGCTGAATCTCAACTCATAGAAGATGAGCTTATTTCTTAGATTGATTTCCTCAAATATCAATCATCTCAGCTTTTTTCTCTTATACAAAAGTAATACAACTTACTGTAAAGCATTTGGATATATAGAGAATTTTTTAAAGAGAAAACACATCACGCATATTCTTGCTTTCTATAAATTATGACTCTTAACATTTTGTTTCTTGCCAGACTTTTAAAAATTGCATTTCTCTTTATGTGTATGTTTGCATGTTTATACACATTAAAAGATGGCAATCAGGATCTCTATTTTTAGCAGAGTGGGAAACTAGATACCCTGAGCTATCCTCTTGTGTAAAACAACTAAAAATGCTTGATAAACTATTTAAAAAAAACATTTTAAATTACATCACTGAACTCACTAGAAAATTAAGGGACATGTTTAGAAGATAGAAAGGGAGTGAAACTGGGAATCCGGAAAGATAAATGAACACTAAAACTGATTTTTGCCTGAGGGCATGTTTCAAACTGATTTTGAGTTTCTCTTTGATAGCTGCTTGAGACATGGGTGGGATGACCAATGCATCCCAGTTTGCCTGGGGTAACCCTCCTTTATTCATATTGTTACTGCATAATTATTAATAGTACTCTTTTCCATTCAAAAGTATCCTCATTTGGCCAGTCATTTATATCATCACCCTAGGCATGAACAGCTTGATTTCATTGAGACAAAAGCCTAAAGAACTACCTCAGTGCAAGTCAAAGTAGAAGTAAAGAGGGCAAAAAGGTATCCTCAAAATGTGTTTATGAACACCAGGGAAACAGACAGACATCTCTAAACACACAGCATTCAGAGGCCATTTTGGATAAGACTGAACAGCTGTACACGGCTCGATCATCTCTCAGTGCATCATCTCACAGAGTAGATGTTTACGGTGTGGAAAATAGTTTTTTTTTAAAAAAAAAACTGAATTAGGTCTAGTATTAGCACTTTAAGAATACAACGATGTGTATACCTATGTAACAAACCTGCACCTTCTGCACATGTATCCCAGAACTTAAAGTACAATAAAAAAGAGCACAATGGTGTGCAATAAAATAAGACTGTCCTTAAAATTGATTTGATGTTGAAAATGTTAATGCTGCATGGAATATATATATATATATATATATGTTATATATGTTATATATGTTATATATAGGTATCTATGTTATATATCATCTATGTAGTTATATATATAATTATATATAGGTACATAAAACACCTAAATCTTCAATATTGCTAGCTACCTATTTAACCTTTATTATGCAATATAAATAAACATAATATATTGCACAAGTGCCATCTATTCTGATGTTCAGAACCACCATGAGAAGGTCAGCCCTCTCCACTTCTGTTTCCTCGGTTTTCCCCAGGAAAGGTTTTGTAGGTTAGTGGAAATCATAAAATACATATCTCTGACAGTAACAAATGAAAAGTAGAGTGCCTACTCATGCTGTTTTTTTCTTGTTTCTTCTTATTCTGCCATGTGTGAAAGAGTCCAATAGAATCATAGAAATTTAGTTTTAGAAGGAACTTTATGTAATTTTCTTGAGGTTTTTTTTAAAGAGGCATAATACTTGATATAGCTTTGATACAGTGTTTTTTTTTTTTAAATTTCAGAGGGTGAAGGAGGAACTGGGAAGATTTCAAGCCAACTATAGAGCTACCAACAATTTCTGTGGAAGCAATAATTTCATTTCCATAATTAGTTAAAATTAACACCAGTACCGCTAAAGAACCAGATTATCATGATTAAAAGTCTAACACTTATGTCCGCATCACAGTAACAAAATATTTAATAAGTAAATATAATTAGGAAAAAAAGGATTATTTAAAATTACAGCATCTACTTTTTGAGAATGCCAATTATTTTAAGCCATTTTAAAACATTATTAAAACATTGCATTGTAATTTAACAATTATAATTTAGGTGTGTGCTACTAGGTAGTAAACTTGCATGTAAATTTACTTTCCTAAGAATAAATAAAAAAAATAGATATTTTATCCTAATTTTCTTGTATCCTGATTTTTAAAGTTTCACATATTTTAAAGATATTACTATTTCGTTGTCCTTCAAAATTATTATTTCTAATGGCTATATTATATCCCACATTTAACTTGTCTCCTACTTTTAGAGTACTTAATTTTTCAGATTTCTAATTTAAAATTTTGTGATTAACATTCAAATGAATAACCCTATATATAAATCTTCAAATATACCTGATGATTTCTTTAAGCTGTCTTAGGGATGCAACGTAGAATTTGGGGCTATATTTGACAGGATTTGTGTAGGAAAAATGTAGATGAGAGGGAGTGAGGAAAGATTACAAAATGGCCAGCTACCTAGTCACAGGAATCCAAAAATGAACGAGAGAGTGAGAAACATACAGAAAGAGAGAACGAACCAACCAAAAAATATGGAAATATGGGGGTAGCCTTATATAACAGTTTTCCTGCCTGAAGGTAAATTTAGCCTGATAGATGACCCGTAGTACAAATAGATTGTACTACGGTACAATCATATTTCCTGCTCTTGTGGGGAAGAGGGAGAAAGGAATAGTAATAGAACAGAGATTTCCCTACTATGGCACGGAGAGACTCAAAAGGACTTTCTTGCTACCTGTTTCCAGATTGCTCTTCAAAGAGATGCTACTAATTTATAGAACAATATGGTAGTACATTAGAGTACCTAACTCACTTCAGCACGACTAGTTTCAAGTATTTTAATTTTAAAAAGTGGCAATTAGATAAAAATGTGTGCTGTTTTTTAATTTGCAGTTTTCATTACCACCGAAGGTGAAATTTATTTTCATATATTTATGGTCATCTATTTTTAAGCTTTCTATTTTGAATTGTAGATTCACAGGAAGTTGCAAAGAAACGTACAAGGAGGTCCTGTGCTCCCTTCTTCACCCAGCTTTTCCCAATGTTAACACGGTACATAATTATAGTACAGTATCAACACTAGGAAATCAACATTGGTACAATTCACAGACCTAATTCAGATTTCACCAGTTTTACACGTACTCATGTACATTTATGTATGTCTTTGTGTGTGTAGTTTTATCTATTTCATCACTTGTTTAGCTTCATGTAACTTTCAGCACAATCAAGGTACAGGACTTGCTCTACGCATTGATAGCCATTTGCATTCATCTCCCCCCATCTCTCACCTCTAGCAACCACTAATCTGATCACCATTTTTATACTTTTGTCAATCTTAGAAAATTATATATATGGAATAATATAGTTTTTAATCTTTTAATATTGACTTTTTTCAGTTAGCATAAACCCTTTTAAAGTCATCTAAGTTTTTGAATGCATCAATAGTTTTGGCTATTGGAAATAAAGCTGCTATGAATATTCTTACGTATCTTTTCATATGGGCATGACTTGATTTTTCTGGGGTAAATGCCTAAGAGTGTAATTGCTGGGTCATATGGTTAGCTCATGTTTAGTTTTGCGAGAAGGTGTCAAACTGTTTCCAGAGTGACGATAACATTCTGCATATCATCAATGTTCCAGTATCTCTGCATCCTCACCAGCATTTGGTGTTGTCCCTATTTTAATTTACTTTAGGCATTCTAAGTGTGTTTGGGGTTATTTATTTTGAATGTGTGAATTCCCTCCATTTTGTTCCTGTTTTTCTATTAGATCGTGGATATATTTTGTCTTAAGTTATTAGGAGCATTTTCTTTATTAAATATATTGACATCATTACCATTTGGGGAAGATTTTTTTGTTGTTGTTTTGTTTTGTTTTTACCAGTCTGTTATTTCCTTAAAGCTTTTTTTGGCATACGAAAGTATTATATGTTTAGGTGATCAAATCTTTCTTTTCCTTTGCAAATTCTTTTTCTACTTTTATATTTTAAAAGTTGTTCTTTGCAAAGAGATTAATTATTCGTCCGTATATTCATTTCTATGTTTGGGTTTTTTTTGTTGTTTATCTTGAATGTATTTGGGTATATAATTTGAATGTCTATCTTGAGTCTTTTGCCATGTAGACAATTATCTCAAAATTATTTGAGGCCGGGCGCAGTGGCCCATGCCTGTAATCCCAGCACTTTCGGAGGCCGAAGCAGGCAGATCACGAGGTCAGGAGATCGAGAACATCCTGGCTAACATGGTGAAACCACGTCTCTACTAAAAATGCAAAAACTATCCAGGCTTGGTGGTGGGTGCCTGTAGTCCCAGCTATTTGGGAGGCTGAGGCAGGAGAATGGTGTGAACCCAGGAGGCGGAGCTTGCAGTGAGCCGAGATCGCACCATTGCACTCCAGCCTAGGCAACAGAGCGAGGCTCCATCTCAAAAAAAAAAAAAATCACTTGAATAGTTCCTCCATTTTTTTCTCATTACATTATGCGCCTATCTTTATCACCCACTCAGTTTTTATTTATATTTAATTATGTCTCTGTGAAATGTATGCAGTTCTGTCAATGTCTGTCAATTCTTGTGCCAGTACCACTTAGCTAGGATTCTGGCAAGAACTAGACAGCAGTCAAATCAAGACTGGGTTCCTGGAGTTTAGATATTTCATGAAAATCAGTGAAAAATGGGATCCTATGTTTTAGTCATCAAATGTCAGCATGAAAAAGGTATTTTTTCTTAAGAAAAGGCAGAGACCTGATTTATGTATTGTTACATAGGAGGCTCTGATTACACTTCTAAAGAGGGTCTGCTCTCATGGGATTGTATACCTTAAATTAGGTATCCAGGATGCTTGGCAGTAATCCCCATTTCTTCTTCAGACTAACTCCAAATAGCCCATGGTCATACATGCCTCATAGAACAGGATTGTGTTCAGTAATTCTTCTCAGTAGATCTCTATCTTTATTACTGATCCAAATTTATACTTCCACAGTGTTGTAACATTTGTATAGGAGTCTTTTAAGGAAGCTAGTGATGTGAATGGAGTACATTAAGGTCCAAAGAACATTCAGGTGCATTTCCACAAGAAATGGAATCCATCTTAGGCTTCTGAAATTGCACTCTGTGAAGCAGTATGATCTATCACTAACCAACAGTTGAAGGAATAACTCACCCAAGGGCAGAAGAAAGGACTTCAGTTTGTTCTGGTGGTATAATAAGATTACAGAGACTGTCCTATGGGTTTGCAAGTACTTATGAAAAATCTTTATTTCTTTTATAGAAGACACTATGGATATGTCCCTCAGAAAAGACATCTTCACCTCTCTAAGTACCAGTTTGAATTTTATTTCACAATGACCAGTGTATAAATGAGGATGTTTTTGGTTGCATATGACTTCTAACCTGACTCAAAATTGTTAAATTATAAAGGTAATGTATAGACTTACACAACTGAATAATCCAGAGATACTGTGAATTTTACATGGTCCGATTCAGTGACCAAATAGGATCATCAAGGACCTAGTTTATTTTTGTCTTTCCTCTCTGTCTTCAACGGTGTTGACATCATCCTAGTGCCAGTTACTCCTTAGGTCACAGATAGCTGTGAACAACTCCTTATGAATACGTCTCCTTGTTCAGGAGACAAGTGGATGTGTCTTACCATTTGCAGTAATAATAATATGTTTAGGTTTTTGGAAAATGCCAATTGGCTTAAGCCACTCAGAGTTCACCTCCAGAGGTTGGTAGTAAGGTTAATCCTTTGCAAATTATCTAATAGAGAAAGTTCAGGATTCTGTTGCCATGAAGGAGGAAAAAATGGATGCTGGGCAGCAAACCAGAGCTGTCTGCTATACCCATTATTCAGCACTTTAGAGACAGTTTAGAGACAATTTCTAAAAGAGCCTCTGAGGGACGGTTTGTATTAATACAGCTGGCTGTTTTAGTTGAGCCCTGTAGAGACTCTAAATATTCCTGAATCTCAATCAAAAACTACATATTTATTGACTCTCTACTATATGCTAAGCAATTTCCTGTCATTGAATATATCCTAGGAAGAATAAAAGGGGGGTGTTTCTCATCAGAGAATACTGAGTTCATTGGGGGTAAAATTTGCAAAACTTGTGAAAAATATACTCCATATATGTAAAGTCTTTGTTGGAGAGCTTGGCATTTGACCGGCGCAAAGGCAGCTGGGCTGTTTTAACTGCTCTTTCCTCTTGAGCCACGGTTGCTTTCTGAGTGTAGCTGCTTCAGTGCTCCTGTCCACAGTCTCAATCTGTACCATGTTCAGAAGCACAGTGGTCATGGTTGAGGTTTTGGATAGATAGGCAGTGTGTCTAGAGGTAGAGTCACTTCATTTCAGCATATGTGTAGTTGGCATAAATTTTAGGTGTGTGGGAACAGCTGATATCAGTGGCCATAATGCATAAGCATGGGCTTATGCTTCATATGGCCCCCAATTTGGCACACTAAGCCTATAGACATATAAGGAGGAGAACATTGCTTTTAAACAAAGGAGACAGTTTCCTTGTGTGTTGTGTGATGATGGCAAGTCAAATGAATACCAGCCTCACCTCTCTTGCTGGGGTTTCTGGTAGAATGAGGTAACACTGAGAACTTAGCATCAATTTCCTTTTAGGTTTTGAATTAGTGCATATAGTGGAAATAGAGAAATCTAGAGGAATCTAGAAGATTTTCAAATTTTTGTTGATTATTTTGTGATTTATGTCTATGGCTGAGTGCAAGAATTTACTATGTAACTGAGCATTTATTGCATGTCCAGGGATGTAATATATGTTATATATGCTAGCAGCTAACACATAAATAGCATGTTACAGTTTGCAAAGTAACTTCGCAGTGTGTTTTTATTTGATTTCATCTTCACCAGAATCTTGAGTGAAGTAGGAATATGTAGCAATTCCATGTTACATTTGCAGAGCATCAGTTTCAGAGAGATATGTTAGTTAAGGCCATAAAATAAACAAATGGTAAGTTTGGGATTGGAACCCTGATCACCCCTTTACAAATCACATAATCATTCCACTGTAGAAACCTTCCTTACATTTTTATTTTATTTATTTTTACTTTTATTTTAGTTTCAGGGGATACATGTACAGGTTTGTTACATGGGTAAGTTGTGTGTTGCTGGCGTTCGATGTTCAAATGGTCCCATCATTCTTGTAATGATCATAGTACCCAATAGGTAGTTCTTCCACCCACACCCCCCGACCCTCCCACTTGAAGTAGTCTCCAGTGTCAATTGTTCCCAACTTTGTGTCAATGCGTACTCAATGTTTAGCTCCCACTTATAAGTGAGAACATGCAGTATTTGGTTTTCTGTTCCTGTATTTATTCTCTCAGGATAATAGCCTTCAGCTGCATCCATGTTGCTGCAAAGGACATGATTTCATTCTTTGTTATGGCTGCATAGTATTCCATGGTGGATATGTACCACATTTCCTTTATTCAGTCCACCATTGATGGGCATCTAGGTTCCTTCTATGTCTTTTCTTTTGTGAATAGCACTATGATTGAGCATAAAAGTACATGTGTCTTTTTAATAGAACAATTTGTTTTCCTTTGGGTATATATTTAGTAAATGGGTCAAATGGTAGTTCTGTTTTAAGCTCTTTGAGAAATCTCCACACTGTTTTCCACAGTTGCTGAGCTAATTTACATTCATATCAGCAGTCTTTAAGTATTTTCTTGGGAGCTTCGCCAATATCTGCGTTTTTTTTTTTGTTTGTTTGTTTGTTTGTTTGTTTGTTTTTGCCTTTTAACAATAGCCATTCTAACTGGTTTGAGATGGTATTGGATTGTGGTTTTGATTTGCATTTCTCTAATGATTAGGGGTGTTGAGCATTTTTTCATATTTTTGTTGGCCACATATATATTTTATTTTGAGAAGTGTCTGTTCATGTCCTTTGACCATTTTTTAAAAATGGAGTTGTTTGTCTTTGGCTCGTTTAATTAAGTTCCTTATAAATTCTGGATATTAGAACTTTATTGGTTGTATAGTTTGTGAGTATTTTCTCCCACTCTGTAGGTTGTCTGTTTACTCTGTTAATGGTTCCTTTCACTGCACAGAAGCTCTTTAGTTCAATTAGATGTCACTTGTCAATTTTTGTTTTTGTTGAAATTGCTTTTGGGGATTTAGTCATAAATTTTTTGCCAAGGCTGATGTCCACAATCATATTTCCCAGGTTTTCATCGAGGGATTTTGTAGGTTTAGGTCTTACATTTAGGTCTTTAATCCATCTTGAGTTGATGTTATTCTTTATGTTTTTAAAAGGAGACATGGAATGAGAAGATCAAGATTAACAGTGGGCTATTGTCCTGAGTATTTCCCAAATCTGTCTTTGGAAGATTCTCTAAAGGAGGTGAGGATAGGAGCTGAATATCTCATGCTGTTAGGTATGCTTCCAAAAAAAATGTGAGATTACAATACACGCTTTTACAGGGCTGTTTTCAAAGGAGATATAACAATATTCCACATAATATTATAGAGTTGTTAAATTGTCATTCCTTTTAGGGTAGGGAAAAGTGTCTTCACTGTGTGTGTTTCCTAGTCTCAGTGGTGACTTTCTTTATGTTAGATCAAGTCACTATCATATCTCAGTGGCTCTTCTCTACTGGTCTACTTCCAGCTTTTTATCTGTCAAAGCATCCCTACATTGCACCCAAAGTGATCTTCCTAAAATGAAAATTGGGTAATGTTCACCTCTTAAAATACTACAGCATTCTACATTATCTAGGCATGAAGCACAGCTCCTCAGCATGGATAATAAGGCCCATTGCAATCTTCCTCACCTACTTTTCTACCCTTAAGGCGTCTCACTTTCTCATGGGCATCCTGTACTCCAGGCATGCTGAATGACACCTGTCCTGCCAGTTTCATACATTGTGATTTCACATGTGCTGCAATTTACATGATGTTGTCTCTGTCAATAATATACTTTCCTTCTTCCTTATTGACCTTGTTTCTTGGCAAGTTTCTTGCTAATCATCCTCAGTATTTAAGCATTATTTCCTCAGGGAAACTGTCTCTGATTTATTCCCTTGGCAGGCAGATTTAGTTCCTGCTTCATCAGATTGTAACTCCTAGAGAAGCTTTCATGTATTTGTATTATAACACTCATCTCATCAGTTTGCTATTAATTATTTTCCTGATTGTCACCCCAGCTAATCTGTAAGCTCTTCAAGGTCAGATGTATTGACTGATTAGTTTTCACTTTGAAGTTCCAAACACAACATCTTGCATATAATAGGTGCTCGATATATTTGCTGAGTGAATGAATGCATAAATGAATACATGTTTACTATTAGGTTGGTGCAAAAGGAATTGCAATTACAACCTAACAGGTTGCCTAGGTGCATGTGTGATGAGTATTTTAAGTATGTATGAGGTCTTTGTAGGTACTGCAGGAATGCTTGGTTAGACACAGGCATTGTATCATATCTGAAGTGTTGTGTATACTGTTGATATTCAATATAATGACATTTAATACTCCTAATGGAAATATAGGAGTGTAGTATGCAAAAAAGAGGTAGAGTCTGTTAACAAGTTTTTCAAAGCTGTTCTGGGTGAACTTGGGCAAATTCATTTCTCTCTCTGGGTTTCAACATTACTATCTTTAATAAGCATTAAAACAATATTTTTTCTGGAGCTCTCTTCAAGTAATCTGTGGGAACTCCAAACACCTCAAATTTATCCTATAATGTTTTATCCTAATGGAAGAAGGGGGCTTGTGTATACTTATTGATTACTTCATTCAAACTCTGTGTGGCATTTGTCACTTTCCTCCTCTCCTCTGATACTGAAGATGCAATTGTGTTGGGCATGTATTCTTTGGCTCAGAACACTGTGTGCCATGTCCCAAAGAGCTCCTGATGTGGTTTGGATTTGTGTCCCCACCCAAGCATCCTGTCGAATTGTGATACTCAGTGTTGGAGGAGGGTCCTGGTGGGAGGTAATTGGATCATGGGAGCAGATTTCCCCTTTGGTGTTCTCATGATAGTGGATGAGTTCTCAAGAGATCTGGTTGTTTAAAAGTGTGTAGCACCCCCACCCCTTCACTCTCTTCCTCCTGCTCCAGCCATGTAGGACGTACCTGCTTCCCCTTTGTTTTCATCATGATTGTAAGTTTCCTGAGGCCTCCCCAGCCATGCTTCCTGTACAGCCTGTGGAACTGTAAGTCAGATAAACCTCTTTTCTTTATAAATTACCCAGTCTCAGATAGTTTTTTGTAGCAATGCAAGAACGGACTAATACAGCTCTTTACCACTTGCACTATCTCTGTTACCTAAGCTAATGATAATAAAAGGAACATCTACCATTTATTGAGTTTGTGCTAATGTAGCAGTCTATACTAAGCTCTTTAAATGGATTATCTCATTTATTCATGACTATCTTATAAGAAAGACACTACTCATAGCTTTATAGATAGATGAGGAAAATGAGGCATAGAGAGATTATATATATAAAACTTGCCCAAATTCACACGGCTTGGAAGTGACAGAGCCAGAATATGAATACATATCTATCTCTCTCCAGAGCTCAAAATCAACCCATAATAGGTACTATTATACAATAGTACTAACTTACGTTCCCAGTGTGATATGATACGGGAACTGAGGGACATAGTGCTCAGACTTGTTCCTTCAGTGATTGGACCATTGACTTTCAGCTAGATGTACGTCTCTTGCCCCTGTCCTCCCCTATAGTGTGTTCTTTTCTAAGACGTGTCTCTTTCCTCCATTTGAAAAAGGCTCATTGTCCAGACAGGTTTGATCCTAAGCTGGTTTCTGTGTATTTTTATATTTTGTGGTTTTGTCAGAATTTTATAAGCTATTTCATTTTAGCAGGTAATCTCTTTAGTATATCCTTTTTGCTAATGGTACATTTTACTTAACTGGCTTGTCCTTTAACTTTCTAGGTTCTATTGCTTTTTTTCTATATTGTCGTGTTTATAGAATGTTTTATCATTTTTATTCAAGTATTTAATTATCTTAGTTAATTTCTCTTCTTTAATTTTCTGTGGTTTTTTTTCTTCTTTACGTTAATATATTGGTAGACCCTATAAGAATAAGTTTAAAACTATCATTTCCACTTAGTGTATCATGTTTGAGTATTGGTTTTAGATAATTTTACTACTTTTAGATTTTATCTTATTTCCTTTGTTGTTTTATTTTATAGAAGCCTATTTTGTCTCATTTATAGTACAACCTCTCTATCTTTTATGCTTCAGGGGATGGGGGAGAGATCAGAGATTGATGGGGGGTGAGAGTAAGTACGATGGAGATCGATGTGTGTGTTTGTGCCCAACCCAGTCTATCCCCCAAGAAGGAGAGATAGAACCTCTTAGTGAATCTGCTTTGTATGCTGGCTTTGTCAGAGTTCTCCCTTTGGAAAAGGACTTTTGGGCTGAAGATTAGTACTAGTGGTCCAGTAGTAGTATTACTAGTAATAGTAGCAGCAACTACCATTTGATAGATCAAGCATGGAACTAGGTGTTTATAGCATATTTTATGTATCTTCTCAGTATCCTACAAGTAGGCATTGGTAGTTTCATTTTATTGACAAGGTTTACAAGGAGGCTGGAACTCTGAGAGATGAAATCATTTGTTAAGCCTGGATTTGAATCCATGTCTGTCTCAATTGTAAAACTCTTGTGTTTTTATATTTTTTATATTTTTTTATGCAGAGGACTCCTGAACACAGATACCCATGGAAAAACATTATTCCCTTAAGAGAGAAAGGACAGATTTTCCAAGGATTTTCTCCTTCCACCTGAATTCATCTAGTTCTTATTGCAAAGGGAACCCTCCCCACTCCAACCAGGAATCTAGATCCATTGACTTTGCAAAACCAAAGTTTTTTCTCAGCTTAGCTGACACCAAGATCCAGTGTTCATGGGGATGTAACAGCCTCAGTATGAAATTCTGTCACCTTGGCTCACTTTCCTACTTCCAGTTTGGCTCAAATAAGCTGCTTTTGGTATTTAAAAACCCCTGTAAGCAGGCTTGCATCCCAGCTGTTTTATCAAGGCAATGTATCACTTTTGCCTCTCTGTTAATGAGCAGTAGAAGTAGCTTTCCTCAGCAAATTCTGTTTCTTTTTGTAGACAGTCCTGCTGATGTACTGAATATTTTCCTCTTTCCTTCTATTTTTTTTTCCTCCTGGTTATTTAAACAGTTAAAAACCCACACAAGAATAACATGATGGCAAGCATCCGACAACAACACCTATTTACCAACTAAGATATAGTTTACTTATGCAACCATAGTAACTACTGCTACCTGCTATGTAACTTACTCTTGAAGTTCATTGCATATTGAAAATAATTTACATGAAACCACTTGAGGTTACCTCTTAAGTGGCTAGTAACCCTAATCTGCCACGAAGTCTCTCTTTACAGAAGCTTTATTTTTTTCCTTCTGAAGTTTATTTATGTATTTACTTACTTATTTATTTATTTTGAGAAAGAGTCTGACTCTGTCACCCAGGCTGGAGTGCAGTGGCGCGATCTCGGCTCACTGCAATCTCTGTCTCCCGGGTTCAAGTGATTCTCCTGCCTCAGCCTCCGGAATAGCTGGGATTACAGGCGCCCACCACCATGCCCGACTAATTTTTGCATTTTTAGTGGAGACAGGGTTTCGCCATGTTGGCCAGGCTGGTCTCGAACTTCTGAGCTCAGGTGATCCACCTGCCTCAGCCTCCCAAAGTGATGGGAATACAGGCATGAGCCACCATGCCTAGTCCCTTCTGAAGTTTAAAAGCACGTTTGGATGTAACATAATGATAGCTTTTCCTTGCAGCTATTGGAAAGTTCCCAAAAAGATGTATGAGTGTCTTGCACCACCTCGTTTGTAAAAGTTCAATTTATTGTCCTAAGAAGGTGACTGAAAGAACTACTAAATATTAATAAAGAGCATAAACCTAGTATGTGCTCGTTTTATAATATTGACTTACTTAGGGGATCTCTGGAAAGACCACAGTGCCGAGGATCAGAAAGTGTGCTGTACTAACAATCAACATGAGATATTGGACATGTCACTTTACCTAAATCTCAGTTTTCCATATATTTAAATGTGTATGGGAGGGGAAAAGAGTGAGATCAGATGGTCCTTTCATCTCTAATAGAATCTTTTGTATATATGTCATCTGGCAGGGGACAACCCCATCTCCAGCTCTCAAATGAGAAAGAACAGTATAGAATTATGGATTTGGAGCTGAGAGGAAGTAGCTTTATGTAATAATTATGAATTCATTTTCTCTTGTCTCTGACTCCACACTTTGCCTTCCTTTTTTTTACTGAATCAGAACTGTGAGATGTTTCTCCTTTGCCAGCTGGCTTGTTGTTAGGTTTTACCAGTAGAAGACGCTGGGGGGACATTGCAAGGCAAGGCAAGGAAGAAGTTTGCCTTATTTCTGTGTTTTGTCTTCCATTGGGATCAGTGTCCCAAGTTACAGTCGCTTTAAGCTTAGTAGCTTTCTCTGATCAGCAGTACTCCACATCTTCTGGCATGATTTTTTTCCACCACAGCAGTCGTCTTCATAGTTCAGCTGTGGACTATGCTCTCCAGCAAGTTTCTCGGCCCCCCAGCGATGGATTGCTTCTGAGGTTCAGCGGTAGCTTTAAACTTCTGACAAGTCTCTTCCCCACTTGCGTGCTGTGTGTTTCTCTGGTAGTCGTATCACCTCACTCAGGACTGAATCTCAGCCTTGGAGAGGGCTTCTTCGAAGTTTCCATGTACCTTGCAGCTCCCTCAGCCCTAGAATCCTTCTTTACCCCTTTTAGTAATTAACTAGTATTAGTTAACGATGTGACAATTATTATATATACTTTTTATTTTTCAAATTACAAATGTGGTTTCTGTATGTCTCCTGAATAGCTCCAGATTGATAAATTTCTAATAATTGTGTATATATATGTGTGTGTGTGTGTACATATGTTTGTGTGTATTTTTTAATGGTATGTGATAGAGGTCTAAATGAACTAATCACAAACAAGATTTTTGAAGGTGAGATTAGAAAAGAACACTTAAATGTCTGAAAAATACATGAGCAATGTTTATCCTCATATATAGAATCTGCCCCATTTATATTTGGGCCAGCTTTGTTAGAAAAGGGGGCCTGAATGTGGAGGAAAGCTTAGGGAAATTAAAATAATAAAAACACTTTTACTGAGTTCCAAAACACTGACTTCAGAACAATGAAATTAATAAAGTAGTTTTACTATTTTTTTGAACCGAATGAAAGTCTTTAAAAATTAAATTGTTTTTAACTCATGATTTGTTAACTCAATAAATGTGGTTTCAATTGAACTGCTTTGGAAGTTACTGTTTTCGAATGCAATAAAAGTTTTTAATTGTTTTCCTTTTATTACCTTACTTGTTTTAAAGGCTCTCAATCAAGCTTTTCCCTCTACTTATACAGCCCGAAGGACCAATTTACAGTGTATCAGTGCCCTGCAGGGAAGCAGGTAGACACTGCCTATGAGTTAGCTGACAATGTGGTGAAATAGAAGTGAGCACAGTAAATTCCATATGTAGACAAGTATTTCAAGCTTCCAGGTACTCTGTTTACCCCTCAAGTCTCACCTATACATTCCCCCGCCCCTCCCTCTTGGCTGATGCCTTTGTTTCAAACTGAAATAATCAGAGGCATTGCTCATTTCCCTACCACCAAGCCTACAAAAATATAATCTGTAGTCATATCCTTTTTTCCCCCTCCATCTAATTACAACAGAAAGAAATGAGTTTCTCTTATCAAAAGCCAACTCCTCTACTTGCATTCTGGATCCCACCCTCTCTTGCTTTCACAAGGCTAATTAAGTCTATTATCAAAACTTCCTCTTAAAATTTATTATTTTTGTTAACATAAAAATGAGCTGTAATACTTTCTTTTTTTTGGTCTCTCACTTTTTTTTTCTTTTTCTTTTTTATTTTACTTTAACTTCTGGGATACGTGTGCAGAACATGGAAGTTTGTTGCATAGGTATACATGTGTCATGGTGGTTTGCTGCACCTATCAACCCATCATCTAGGTTTTAAGTTCCACATGCATTAGATATTTGTTCCAATGCTCTCCCTCCCCTTGCCCTCCACCCACCCCAACAGGCCCCAGTGTGTGATATTCCCCTCCCTGTGTTCATGTGTTCTCAAGTTCAACTCCTACTTATGGGCAAGAACATACGGTGTTTGGTTTTCTGTTCTTGTGTTAGTTTGCTGAGGATGATGGCTTCCAACTTCATCCATGTCCTTGCAAAGGACATGAACTGCTTCTTTTTATGGCTGCATAGTATTCCATGGTGTATATGTGCCACATTTTCTATATCCAGTCTATCATTGATGGGCATTTGGGTTGGTTCCATGTCCTTGCTATTATAAATAGTACTGCAATAAACATGCGTGTGCCTGTGTCAGGATATGAACAGACACTTCTCAAAAGAAGACATTTATGTGGCCAAAAAATATATGAAAAAAGTTCACCATCACTGCTCATTAGATAAATGCAAATCAAAACCACACTGAGATACCATCTCACTCCAGTTAGAATGGTGATTGTTAAGAACTCAGGAAACAACATTTACTGGCGAGGATTTGGAGAAATAGGAATGCTTTTACACTGTTGGTAGGAGTGTAAATCAGTTCAGCCATTGTGGAAGACAGTGTGGCGATTCCTCAAGGATCTAGAACCAGAAATACCATTTGACTGAGCTATAATATTTTCAAACTTCTTGTCTCCATTTTCATCTCACATTTTCTGTTGAACCCAATGCAGCCATCCTCTTGCTTATACCACTCCATTGAAGCAGGTTTAGCCAAAATCACAAACTCTTTCCTTGTAACCAAACTTAAAACACATGTCCCAATCCTCATTTTACTCAATCTTTGTGTGAGTGTTGACCACTCCCTACTTGAAATAGTTCCCTCTCTTGGCTTCTATAATGCTATAGTCCCCTAATTGTCTTACTTGATATTTAATTTTAGTTGCTTTGATGGCACTTTTTCTTCTAAATATTGCAGTTCTTCATGATTTCGTTCATCTCTTTTTTTCCTTTACATTCTTTCCTGAAAGGATTTTCTCAATTCCAAGGGATGTAATGACCGTTGGTATGGGCTGAATTGTGACCTCAGTAACAAGGGTGGTACCAGTCTGAAGTTAGACAGGCAGTTGCTGAGCAGATGTCCTCACAGAAGTGTTTGTGTCTGTGTGTAAGGTTGTAATGGCCTGATTCAGTTCTTTCTGTCGGATATCTACATTATCTGTATTTACTTACAAAATCATTCCCCATCTAATTTATACTTTTTGTTACATGATCTACTTAGAGGTTAGCATGAGAGTTGACAGGGTCAAAAGAATACTTGTTTTACCTTTTTGCCAGTTTGCTATCTTAGAAATATTTACTAGTTTATTAATGATAATCAAAGTATTTCCAGTATAAATAACTAAGAGTATCTAATTTGTCCATTACATAAATGTTTCTTGAATGCCAATTATGCATCAGATAATGGGGATATAACAGTGAGCACTGACAAGAACAACACTATTCCTGCCCTCAGATAATTTAGAGACCTGAGAGACATAGGTAGGTATAACCACATATTGAGTAAATTAACAAAAAAATAAAAATAACACTCACAAGTTCCTGTAGTAGTGTTATAATAAATCAAGTATACAGGACTTACTGGCAGTTTGGAAGTTGTTATAATTTTCCCAGTTTGTAATATGGAATTCAAAGAGAATAGATAATTATAGATATACTTTGACCCAGGAATCCCGTTTTTGGAAACAGATCAACAAAGTGACTAAAAAGGAAGATAAAATGCTCTTTTGTACAATGATACTTATATCTGCACAATCTATAATAACAATTTGGAAATCACAAAAATTCATATGTTTGAGGAATTGTTAAAATAATGATAGTATAGTATCTTAGGTTCAGTTTTCATAGGGAATAGATCCAGAGGCTAGGATTCAAGTAAAATTAGTTTATTTGGGAGGGAAATGATCATCAGTAGGAAAGTATGGACATGAAACAGGGAAGGCAAAAGATGCATTATCAAGCAGCTACTACTGAGGGTGACTAAAGCTGTTCCATGGAAAACTATGACAATATGTCATGATGCACCTCAGAACGATGCTGTCTGTGTGATGGTGTGTGGAGAGTCTAATTGCTGGGAGTCATAGGTTGAGATCTGTTCCATGAGGTTGCTGCTTCTTCAGCATTTCCTACTAGCCATGGGCATAGCCAAAACGGCTTTTAGTGGTTGGGGATAGGATGGAGACTATCTCTTATTTACAGATACCGAAACTGACAGTTTTACATAGTCTGGAGCATATCGAAAGGTCAGCTAATGTAACAGTACAATGATACATTTCCATTAAATGTAAAAAATGTGTAAACCCTGTAGATATTTGTAAACAAGTAGAAGAAAAAAATTTGTCAAAGAGCACAATACTATTCATACAGTGTGTATAAGCGTAGAAATAGTAGTTATGTTATTAGAAAACATAGAATCTTATAAAGTATTGAACAGATACTTTTTAATGTTATAAAGGTATATAATTAATGAAAATGTTCCAGCAATGTTGACTGAAAGACTCTTCAATTAGACATCAATAAACTGATACCTTTTAAATGCTAACAGTGCTGATATTACAGAGGTAGAGTCAATGGAAGTTAGTGAAGTCTTGGGTTTGGTAGGGGAAGGAATAAAAGTCATCAGGATGCACTGAATATTTGTGACTAATCAAATGGATGGATGGCAGCATCTTCAACAGTGCTAGAGAATTCAGGAAGATGATCTTATGTTAATGCAGCAGATTACTAGGTAAAGATGAAGGACTGTGATGTTGTTAGGAGTGTTTCTAAATGCGACATTAAGACCTTGAGATAGTTACTGAGGATACCAATCTCTGAAGTGTAGAGAAATGAATATTGGAGAAAGTTTACAAATAATGGTGAAAATAATGTCACACATGTAGATTAACACCCCAAGGCACTGAAAAGGTACATAAGGAGGATAAATGATCCCTCTTAAAAGGAATGGTTTTCTTAATCATTCTAATAATTTTTCTTAACTTTCCTTTTCCCAATAGAGATTAGGAAGACAATCTTTGCTAATTAATTTCTACAATGCAAGTTTTAATGAAAGGAGGTGAAACACTTGAGGAGGCAAAATAATTGTAGATACTGTTAGTTTATACATTTTATTCTTATCAGAACACGGACATTTGTTGCTTAGCGCCTTGGCTGACATTAATCTCATCTTGTTTCACTGGACTGTTCCCATGGCTTGGTTTCAACAGAGTCAAGTTATCTACTTGTTTTACTCCCAGATTGTCTCTGATAAAAGGATGAAAGCAGTTAAAATTATACAAGAAACTACTTTGTCGCTACTTTCATGGTTTGACTTAAGATGCTCTGGACATTGACGTAAGTAGGCCACAGTGTTTTATTAACCTCAATTAACAAGAAAGCAACATTTCTTTTATCTGTGCCATTAATATGGGCAAGGAATAAAGAAAGTGCAATAAATTTCTAATTTGAATTTGGAACCCAGTAGAGGGAGAAAGTTGGAGCTGTGCATGTTTGCAGTTCTGAGTCATGGCCAATTTTTTTTTTTAACATAAGCCATCTGCCAGTATAATACTTTTAATGATACATTTACTTGAAATTCTTTTCACATGCTCCCATGAGTTCCTGTACTCAAACAGATCAGAAAGAATATTTGGCTTAGGCATTTGAGGCTTCTGTGATCTGCTGTCTCCATTGATTTCAGTTGACCATAACCTTCATCATTCAGTGTGTCTCCTCAGGGGCTAATATTCCATTTATCGAATCTTTTTATTCCTAAAGATCTTTGATATGGTTTAACAACAGTACACAAGCTTTGTAAGATGATGTGTTTGAATTTTGCTGAAAAGTTGGTGTTTCATAGAAACTAGTAAGTGGCCATCTGATGTTTTAAATCTTATCAACATTACTTTTGGGGGGTAGTCTAAATAGAGTCAAAACTTGATTTTCACAGAAGGATTTGCAGAGCTTCACCGACTAGGCTATTGAAAGGAGTAGCCTAGTGATTTCCTTTTGTTCTTACTTTTGTTGATCTGTCTTTCTGGATTTATTATTGATTACTTTTACAATCAGAACATCTACAGTATGTTTCACTTCTTTGTTATATTTTTACTAGTTCTTTATTTATAAATCTCACGTTGTCTCCAATATTTGCAGAACTATTTTTATACCAATTTTATTTTTTTAAAATTTTCAGTGTATTCAATACTTAACATCAGACTTACTCATTACTTCTTTCTCAAATCCTTTCAAAGTTTCAGAAGACTATTTCAATACAGGTGTATTTATTTGTTGAACACATAGTTACTAAGGACTTACTCTTTACTAGGTTCAACAGTAGGCACTGGAGACATGGAGATGACTGAGGCACACCTTGTCCTCATGAGAGCAGCATAATATACTGGTAAAGGGTGGAGATTTCTGAGTCAAACCTGGATTTCAGTCCCAAGTGTGATGGAGAACTTTATGTGTCAACTTGGCTAGGCTACAATGCCCAGTTGTTTGGTCAAACGCAAACCTAGATTTTGCTGTGAAGTTTTTTTTTTTGGTGCAATTAACCTTTAAATCAGTTGACTTTAGACCCTAAGAGCAAAGACGGAAATTTCCCAAAGAAGAAGAAATTCAGCCTCAGTAATACAACATACAAGCCCTGCCTGCATTTCCAGCCAGATTCCCTGTGGAATTCAGACTAAAACTGCAACATAAACTCTTACTTGGATTTCCAGCCTCTGGCTTGCCCTATGGAATTGTAACTTGCCAACATCTATCTCTCTCTCTCTCTCTCTCTCTCCCCCCCTTCTCTCTCTCTCCCCCTTCTCTCTCTCCCCCTTCTCTCTCTCCCCCCTTTTCTCTCTCTCCCCTCTTTTCTCTCTCTCTCTCCCCCTTCTCTCTCTCTCTCCCCCCTTCTCTCTCTCTCTCATATATATACACATATATGTAATTAGATAGATATAGATATGAAGCTATAGAATATAATTACATATGTATCTATATATTACATATATCTATATATTATATAGATATAGCTACACATCTACATGCATATATGTGTGTGTATACATAGAGATATCTAAATATATATGTATGTGTATATATGTATATATGTGTGTATATACATAGAGATATCTATAAAAACATCTATTCCTATATCTACATTATAGACTATCGATTATATTTCTCTAAAGAACACTGACTAACACACCAACTCTTTTACACACCAGATAGACTGGTTAATTTGCCTCTCTGAGCCTCAATTTCTTCTTGGTAAATGGATCTTACTGAGGATTAAATGAGCCAATGTATGTGAAAGAAGAAACAGTATACCTGACACACATATTAAGTACTCAACAAATAGTAACTCTAGCTTCATAAGTAGTTTAGTAACTAAAGGGTTAGATGTGATATAGGCAGTACTAGAGGTATAAATTTCTAGAAGGGAACAGAAGAGAGGAATTATCTAAGTATTGGGGCAGGGTGGTCAGGAAAGGCTTTCTGGAGAAATGGATACTTAAAACCGAGACTTAAAGCTTGAGTAGAAAGATTCATTCATATAACTGAATTTGTTCACAAAAGGTATTGTGTACTTATTCTATGCTGGAACAGCTGATGTGCATTGTGGCAACAAAAGTAAGATATAGACGATTTATTAGATCTGGAATGGCAAAAAAGAAGAAGCTCAGAGAAAATGGATAGTCAGGTACCCAAGTAGAACCATGGCTTGTAGAGACTAAATCAGATGTTGAAGCTGACTCTGGAGAGGATATATGGCTTTTCAGCTGCCATGTTTTATATCACCCAGATGTAATAGGTCTTCTAGAATAAAGTAAAAGAAAGAATAATGGTTAAAAAGATTTAAAGATATAGCTAAAAAAAGCCACAACTAAGGAAAGATTTGAGTCTATTACTGAACCACAACAATATTGCGCAGAATATATTAATGTTTATACGTATAATTATATGTGTGTGTGTATATATATATACACACATACTATTGCATTGAACAGGATCTACTTATGGTATGAAATAACAAAACAACTTTCCTTTTTTTTTTTGCCTCTTACTGATTTTTTAAATTTAACGGGTGTGTTATTTCTCTTCAACTAGAAAAGAACTCTAGATAGTCCCACTACTTTTCGGATTATCCTTAGGTAAATAAAAGCTGATTATCACTTTTGTCATCAAGCACTATGTAAATTCAGAAATTATAATGTCAATTTTCATAGAATAATTGGCATATCAAAGTTCAAATTTAGAACTTTCCCATCTCCTTTTTCTAGGACTTTGTAGTGGGAAGCCTACAGTCATGGATAGAGGGTGGGTATAGGAGGCTTCATTTCTCGTTCTTTTTCATATCCTTCCTCAAGGTTGGAATACACTGAGGAGAGCTTTAAGAGGAGAAAACATGTTCTTACTTGACAGGCTGCATAGATCATTGGCCTGGAAATGTTTTAGAGCTAACTCTTTTTTCCATGGCGCACTTTTCTGAGTTCTTCAGACCTTGTTCCACCTCACCCCCATCATTAAGGATGTGTCATCTGACATTCTCTTGGTACAACTAAATGAATTTCTATTTCTGTTGGCCACTTACTACTAAACCTCTTAGGAATCCGAAGGTCTATCTCCAACTTTTTCCTGCTGAGGTTAATGTCAATTATAGTAAAATATAGTTTATCATATACTGTATTTTCAAATATTTTTAGTTTTGAAAAATTTTTACCTAGGAAAAATATGTGGGCATGTGAATGCTTTGGATTACTGTTTAATGATACATTTCCGTGTGTTAATATTGATTGTATATAAATGGCTTTTGAGTCAAATAAGTTTGGGCAAAATAGTGCAGGCTTATTTTCTGCACAGCTTCCCAGAGCTTTTAACGCACTGTGCTGAGCATTAGCTATGTGACTTTAGGTAAATCACTTAATCTCTCTGTGCTGTTTCATTATTTGAAATAGGGATGAGATAATACTTACCTGATAGCATTGCTGCATAAATTAGATTACGTGATGCATATGAAGTACTCAGCATAATGCCTGGCCGATAGTAAGCCCTTAAAGTTGGTAGTTATTGACATTTGTTAGGATGATCATGCCTCCTGCTGCTGCAGCTAAAGTATTCCAGAAACTTGATCATAGAAACCTTCCCCCAGAGAATGTCCCTGGACTCATGTTCTGCAGAACATACTTTGGGAAATACTGCACTCTCTCTCTTTCCTTTTTTTCAGCTCTGCTGTCTGTGCTTTGCATCTTCAAAAACTGAAATAGCACACAGAAAACTTCTTCTTTAACTTGGAAATTGAGCATTTTCAGTTATTTCCATTTGGCTTTTATTTGATGAAACATACGATTATGGAAAATTACCTTTACCTGTCTACGATGTCATACTGAGCCCCTCCATAACCTTCACACAGCAACTGGCTATGCCCATTGTGAATTCTGCAGTAGTCTATGAAAAAATTTACTTGCTGATGGCCATTTTGGAGCTTCTAAGGCAGTTCCACAACATGCAATTGGTTTGCAAAGCATAGTGGCTTGTGTATATTTCACTCACCCTGGAAATTACAAGAGATTTTCCATAAATTGTCTCTTCAGATCTGGGAATGTCTAAGGATTAACAATCCTTCTCAGGCAAAGGATAAACAATTTTTGTATCCCTCAACAGTCACCCCCTTTCCTAGATTCTTTTCTCCAGCTAAAGTTATAACTGGTGTAAGAGGAGAATTGCTTTCCCAGTGTTTGATTTTGAAGCCTACTTGGAGAAAATCACTGAAAAATTAAGAAACAAACTCATGAGTTTTGAAAGAAAGGAGCAACATTAGAAGCTGCTGTGCAACTGAAAGCATCCTGCACCTAACTCTTCTCTTGGCGCCCTATGCCTCTGCAGATGATGGTGTCTGTGGGTATGTTGAGGAGGAGAAAGAAAGAAAAAAAAAAAGAGGCTGCGCTCTTAGTATCTTTTTACTAGTTAAAAACTCTGGCTTCTAGGAAGCCAAAGTGTGATGTAACAGAAGTGCAGAGATGAGGAGATCTGGGTTTGATGCCTGGCTCAATCCTGTCATTGAACGTCTTGTGACTTCCTCTACGTTTATAAAGGAAGATTATTAGGACTTGAATTTCATATATTTTAGCCACCGAATCAACAAGGTGAATTGCTTTTGAGATGTAAGCAATATTTTAAAGTTAGCTTTCTTCTATAAAATGTATGCACTAAAATTTTTGCAGGGGAGAAAAAAAGGCAAATTAAACCAAACAATAAAAATATATATTTGGTGTCCTTTAAGTCATAAGTTTGACAGTGACAAACTAGCCATAATTTACCCTGAAAATTCTGTAATTATTGGAGGAAATTGGCTGTTTGTACATGATGTATATGCAGGCACTTTTCTCTTCTGCCCACCGGTTTCCTTATCTAGAAAATGTTAAAGAGATATACTAAGAAATTTTCCAGCTCTAATATTCTTTAAATCTTGACTTTTTCAATCCATTGTCTGAATACTATGTCCAAGTTTTTTTTTTCTGACCAATGAAAAACTGTATAAACAAAAAAATTAAGTGATTATCTCGAGTACACCTCCAATTTAATTACCTCTGTATTCCTTACCTCAATTAATAGCATTTCCTTCCCCCACATAAGCCAGCAGCATATAGTCATTCACTCTTCCTTCTCTCTCTTACCCTAAATTCCAGTAGCTATCAAGTTCAGTAAAATCAACCACAGTAATGTTTGTCTGCACTCTCATGACTCTGATATTTTTCTATATTTAATAACTTTTTGAAAATATCTATTTGATCATGCCTTTCCTTTGCTTAAAACTCATTACTAAGTTCTCCTTGTTTGAGGGATAAATCTTAAACCCAGTAACACCTCCTACAAGGCCCCTAGAAATCTGCCTCTCCATGCCTATCTCCGTATCTTGCGTCAGGTCCCTACCCTAAAGTTATATAGTAGGCTGAATAGTTCCCTGCAGAGCCATTCATGCCCCCATCCCTGAAATCTGTGAATATGTTCCCTAATATGGCAAAAATGATTTTGCAGATGTGATTAGGAAGTTTTAGATGAGGAGATTATCCTGGATTTTCTGGGTTGTTCTATTATAATCCCAAGGGTTCTTATAAGAGGAAAGGAGGAGGGTCAGCTAGAAACAGAGTTGTGATGCCAGAAGCTGAAACTGGAGTGATGCAGGGCACGTATCCAAGGAATGCCAACAACCTTTAGAAGTTGGGAAAGGCAAGAAATAGATTCTTCCCTAGAGCTTCCAGAAAAAAATGCAGCCTTTCTGGGACTTTGATTTTTATCTCTTTGAGACTCATTTTGGATTTCTGGCCTACAGAGCTGTAAGACAGGAAACTCCCATTCTTCAAACAAAAGCTGTTATCCTGGTGGTAATTTGTTACAGAAGCAGTAAGAAACTAATACAAGATAGCTGAAGTAGATCACCTTGTATAGCATTTTTCCTGAATTTTACTGATAGCATTAAGAATAATTACATTAATAGTTTATCTTTGAAACTAAAGTTCAAAAACTCTTAAATGTGCGTTGGACTATGCCTAAGAAGAAACATTTTTATATTAGTATTCCATGGCAGAAACCGGATTGGATTGGAAAAAAGAGAAAACAAAACTGAGTATTGTTAAACTGTTATCACAGAAATCCTCTATAAGCATAAACAAATCTCTTCTTTTAAAATTATTTCAGACCTTCTGAATCTGATATATTTATAGTCTATACCTGCATAGTACTTAGATAAGTTATTTTGAAAGTCCTAGGTGTGAGAATTAATCACTATATTTATCCTTGACTTTGACATTTTTAGTTTCTCTCTCTCTCTCTCTCTATATATATATATATGTATATATATCTCTCTTTCCCTGTCTCTCTTTGCTTTAAAGCATATAAATGAAATTGAAATACAGATTTAGGAATTGAATAGAGGAAAGGCATTTGGAATAAGGAAAGACAGAAAGAAATCTACTTCTCCCACTTTATTTCTCTAGTTTGCACAGGCAAAATAAATTTGCCAAGTCACCAGTTCTGAAAAGTAGATGGGCTATCACATTAATCTCAGAAGGAATACATCCCACAGACCTAGTTATTCAAACTTTATATACAAGAATAAATTAGCAATGTGATCTCTAATGAAGCCTGTAGAATAGATAATTTCAGTAGCATAGTTTTGTTCTTAAATCCTAGAGCTAGTCATGGAATTAAAAGTGTTTATCTGAAGTTACCTTGAGCCACACAAATACACACAATTATCTATTTAAAAAAAAAAATCCATACCTATGGCAAGTTGGATAACATTAAAGGAGCCTTCATCTTTTATCATCTTGATTTTATCCTGAAGTATGAAATCATCTGGCATTCATTCTTGGATTTTAAAGGGCTTGAAATATTGTGACCAGCAGAATCTACTGCAATTTATATTTTAATTTTGGGTATGTGCTATTATATTTGAACAGAATCAATAAAAGGGTACTTTTAAAAACTGAAATTGTAACTACAGGGTATATACATAAGATATATGCATTTTAGTAGGACCTCGCTCTACAATTCTAATCAATCAACATGTAAATCGTGACCTCCTGGAAAGCACATTTTAGACATCTTTGCACCTTCAGCAAAGTGTGGAAGTTCAGTAAATGTATGCTGTGTTATACTGAATCTTTTCCATAGGTACAGCATTATGCTATCTGCTCTCTAAACTACCTAGTTGCAACACCCAATGATACCTATTTTTAAGAAGCACACAGCATAGCCTAAAATAGGCTTTAGGCTTTATTTTATCAAATGCTTAATATGTCCTAGTCATACTCTCGTGATGATAAGCATATGTGAAATATGGGGTGGATAATAGGAAAAGAATAGACCAGAACGTATCCCCAGACGGGTGAATTAACAAAAAGTACACACAAATTTGTGTCACATAAAATTACTTTATATCACAATATTTATATAGCACATTGGTAGTTGGCCTTATAAGCATTAAGCATCTTTTATTTAACTATTATATTCAACTTAATTTTAATGTCAAGTATATATCGATGTTTGGAATATGCCATTTTAATACTTGAAAAAAGTCACACATGATATATAGAATTTCGTATTTGGAATATCTGAAGTACTAAATATTCCAAATATTCAAATAGTCAATTTCATGTAGACACAGTCATAAATTTTTCAAAATATATTTCATTTATTTTTATTTATTCAAGAAATATTTACTGAAATCCTTCCCATAAATTTTGTTTTGTTTTAGTATACTAACTGTCAGCAACAGCTATTTTATTTTATTTTATTTCATTTTAAGTTCCAGGATACACATACAGAACATGCAGGTTTGTTACATCGGAATACATGTGCCATGGTGGTTGGTTGCACCTATCAACCTGTCATCTAGGTTTTAAGCCCCACATTCATTAGGTATTTGTCCTAATGCTCACCCTCCCCTTGCCCTCCACCCCTGACAGGCCCCAGTGTGTGCTGTTCCCCTCCCTGTGTCCGTGTGTTCTCATTGTTCAACACCCACTTATGAGTGAGAATATCTGGTGTTTGGTTTTCTTCCTGTGTTAGTTTGCTGAGGATGATGGCTTCCAGGTTTATCCATGTCTCGGCAAAGGACATGTTCTCATTCTTTTTATGGCTGCATAGTATTCCATGGTGTATATGTCCCACATTTTCTTTATCCAGCGTATCATTGATGGGAATTTGGGTTGGTTCCATGTCTTTGCTATTGTAAATAGTGCTTCAATAAACATACATGTGCATGTGTCTTTATAGTAGAATGATTTATAATCCTTTGGGTATTTACCCAGTAATGGGATTGCTGGGTCAAATGGTATTTCTAGTTCTAGATCCTTGAGGAATCGCCACACTGTCTTCCACAATGGTTGAACTAATTTACATTCCCACCAACCGTGTAAAAACATTCCTATTTCTCCACAGCCTCGCCAGCATCTATTGTTTCTTGACTTTTTAATAACCGTCATTCTGACTGCTGTGAGATGGTATCTCATTGTGGTTTTGATTTGCATTTCTCTAATGACCAGTGATGATGAGCTTTTCTTTTTTTTTTTTTTTTGTCTTAAAGTCAGCTTAAGTTGTGTTTTCTTTTTTTTTTTTTTTTTATTATTATACTTTAAGTTTTAGGGTACATGTGCACATTGTGCAGGTTAGTTACATATGTATACATGTGCCGTGCTGGTGCGCTGCACCCACTAACTCGTCATCTAGCATTAGGTATATCTCCCAATGCTATCCCTTCCCCCCTCCCCCCACCCCACCACGGTCCCCAGAGTGTGATATTCCCCTTCCTGTGTCCATGTGATCTCATTGTTCAATTCGCACCTATGAGTGAGAATATGCAGTGTTTGGTTTTTTGTTCTTGCGATAGTTTACTGAGAATGATGGTTTCCAATTTCATCCATGTCCCTACAAAGGACATGAACTCATCATTTTTTATGGCTGCATAGTATTCCATGGTGTATATGTGCCACATTCTCTTAATCCAGTCTATCATTGTTGGACATTTGGGTTGGTTCCAAGTCTTTGCTATTGTGAATAATGCCGCAATAAACATACGTGTGCATGTGTCTTTATAGCAGCATGATTTATAGTCCTTTGGGTATATACCCAGTAATGGGGTGGCTGGGTCAAATGGTATTTCTAGTTCTAGATCCCTGAGGAATCGCCACACTGACTTCCACAATGGTTGAACTAGTTTACAGTCCCACCAACAGTGTAAAAGTGTTCCTATTTCTCCACATCCTCTCCAGCACCTGTTGTTTCCTGACTTTTTAATGATCGCCATTCTAACTGGTGTGAGATGATATCTCATAGTGGTTTTGATTTGCATTTCTCTGATGGCCAGTGATGATGAGCATTTTTTCATGTGTTTTTTGGCTGCATAAATGTCTTCTTTTGAGAAGTGTCTGTTCATGTCCTTCGCCCACTTTTTGATGGGGTTGTTTGTTTCTTTCTTGTAAATTTGTTTGAGTTCATTGTAGATTCTGGATATTAGCCCTTTGTCAGATGAGTAGGTTGCGAAAATTTTCTCCCATGTTGTAGGTTGCCTGTTCACTCTGATGGTAGTTTCTTTTGCTGTGCAGAAGCTCTTGAGTTTAATTAGAACCCATTTGTCAATTTTGGCTTTTGTTGCCATTGCTTTTGGTGTTTTGGACATGAAGTCCTTGCCCACGCCTATGTCCTGAATGGTAATGCCTATGTTTTCTTCTAGGGTTTTTATGGTTTTAGGTCTAACGTTTAAATCTTTAATCCATCTTGAATTGATTTTTGTATAAGGTGTAAGGAAGGGATCCAGTTTCAGCTTTCTACATATGGCTAGCCAGTTTTCCCAGCACCATTTATTAAATAGGGAATCCTTTCCCCATTGCTTGTTTTTCTCAGGTTTGTCAAAGATCAGATAGTTGTAGGTATGCGGCATTATTTCTGAGGGCTCTGTTCTGTTCCATTGATCTATATCTCTGTTTTGGTACCAGTACCATGCTGTTTTGATTACTGTAGCCTTGTAGTATAGTTTGAAGTCACGTAGTGTGATGCCTCCAGCTTTGTTCTTTTGGCTTAGGATTGACTTGGCGATGCGGGCTCTTTTTTGGTTCCATATGAACTTTAAAGTAGTTTTTTCCAATTCTGTGAAGAAAGTCATTGGTAGCTTGATGGGGATGGCATTGAATCTGTAAATTACCTTGGGCAGTATGGCCATTTTCACGATATTGATTCTTCCTACCCATGAGCATGGCATGTTCTTCCATTTGTTTGTATCCTCTTTTATTTCCTTGAGCAGTGGTTTGTAGTTCTCCGATCTACCAAGCAAATGGAAAACAAAAAAAGGCAGGGGTTGCAATCCTAGTCTCTGATAAAACAGACTTTAAACCAACAAAGATCAAAAGAGACAAAGAAGGCCATTACATAATGGTAAAGGGATCAATTCAACAAGAGGAGCTAACTATCCTAAATATATATGCACCCAATACAGGAGCACCCAGATTCATAAAGCAAGTCCTGAGTGACCTACAAAGAGACTTAGACTCCCACACATTAATAATGGGAGACTTTAACACCCCACTGTCAACATTAGACAGATCAACGAGACAGAAAGTCAACAAGGATACCCAGGAATTGAACTCAGCTCTGCACCAAGCGGACCTAATAGACATCTACAGAACTGTCCACCCCAAATCAACAGAATTTACATTTTTTTCAGCACCACACCACACCTATTCCAAAATTGACCACATAGTTGGAAGTAAAGCTCTCCTCAGCAAATGTAAAAGAACAGAAATTATAACAAACTGTCTCTCAGACCACAGTGCAATCAAACTAGAACTCAGGATTAAGAATCTCACTCAAAGCCGCTCAACTACATGGAAACTGAACAACCTGCTCCTGAATGACTACTGGGTACATAACGAAATGAAGGCAGAAATAAAGATGTTCTTTGAAACCAATGAGAACAAACACACAACATACCAGAATCTCTGGGACGCATTCAAAGCAGTGTGTAGAGGGAAATTTATAGCACTAAATGCCCACATGAGAAAGCAGGAAAGATCCAAAATTGACACCCTAACAACACAATTAAAAGAACTAGAAAAGCAAGAGCAAACACATTCAAAAGCTAGCAGAAGGCAAGAAATAACTAAAATCAGAGCACAACTGAAGGAAATAGAGACACAAAAAACCCTTCAAAAAATTAATGAATCCAGGAGCTGGTTTTTTGAAAGGATCAACAAAATTGATAGACCGCTAGCAAGACTAATAAAGAAAAAAAGAGAGAAGAATCAAATAGACACAATAAAAAATGATAAAGGGGATATCACCACCGATCCCACAGAAATACAAACTGCCATTAGAGAATACTACAAACACCTCTACGCAAATAAACTAGAAAATCTAGAAGAAATGGATACATTCCTCGACACATACACTCTCCCAAGACTAAACCAGGAAGAAGTTGAATCTCTGAATAGACCAATAACAGGCTCTGAAATTGTGGCAATAATCAATAGTTTACCAACCAAAAAGAGTCCAGGACCAGATGGATTCACAGCCGAATTCTACCAGAGGTACAAGGAGGAACTGGTACCATTCCTTCTGAAACTATTCCAATCAATAGAAGAAGAGGGAATCCTCCCTAACTCATTTTATGAGGCCAGCATCATTCTGATACCAAAGCCGGGCAGAGACACAACCAAAAAAGAGAATTTTAGACCAATATCCTTGATGAACATTGATGCAAAAATCCTCAATAAAATACTGGCAAACCGAATCCAGCAGCACATCAAAAAGCTTATCCACCGTGATCGAGTGGGCTTCATCCCTGGGATGCAAGGCTGGTTCAATATACGCAAATCAATAAATGTAATCCAGCATATAAACAGAGCCAAAGACAAAAACCACATGATTATCTCAATAGATGCAGAAAAAGCCTTTGACAAAATTCAACAACCCTTCATGCTAAAAACTCTCAATAAATTAGGTATTGATGGGACGTATTTCAAAATAATAAGAGCTATCTATGACAAACCCACAGCCAATATCATACTGAATGGGCAAAAACTGGAAGCATTCCCTTTGAAAACTGGCACAAGACAGGGATGCCCTCTCTCACCTCTCCTATTCAACATAGTGTTGGAAGTTCTGGCCAGGGCAATCAGGCAGGAGAAGGAAATAAAGGGTATTCAATTAGGAAAAGAGGAAGTCAAATTGTCCCTGTTTGCAGACGACATGATTGTTTATCTAGAAAACCCCATCGTCTCAGCCCAAAATCTCCTTAAGCTGATAAGCAACTTCAGCAAAGTCTCAGGATACAAAATCAATGTACAAAAATCACAAGCATTCTTATACACCAACAACAGACAAACAGAGAGCCAAATCATGAGTGAACTCCCATTCACAATTGCTTCAAAGAGAATAAAATACCTAGGAATCCAACTTACAAGGGATGTGATGAGCTTTTCTTCATGTGTTTGTTGACCGTGTAAATGTCTTCTTTTGAGAAGTGTCTGTTCATATCCTTTGCTCACTTTTTGATGGGGTTGTGTTTTTTTTTTTTGTTTTTTGTTTGTTTGTTTGTTTTTTTGGTTTTTTTTTTTTGTAAATTTGTTTAAGTTCCTTGTAGATTCTGGATATAAGACCTTTGTCAGATGGGTAGATTGCAAAAATTTTCTCCCATTCTGTAGGTTGCCTGTTCACTCTGATGCTAGCTTCTTTTGCTATGCAGAAGCTCTTTAGTTTAATTAGATCCCATTTGTCAATTTTGGCTTCTGTTGCAATTGCTTTTGGTTTTTTCGTTATGAGGTCTTTGCCCATGCCTATGTCCTGAATTGTATTGCCTAGGTTTTCTTGCAAGGTTTTTATGGTTTGGGGTTTTACATTTAAGTCTTTAATCCGTCTTGAGTTAGCTTTTGTATAAGGTATAAGGAAGGAGTCCAGTTTCAGTTTTCTGCATATGGCTAGCCAGTTTTCCCAGCACTATTTATTAGAGAAGTCTTTCCCCATTGCTTGTTTTTCTCAGGTTTGTCAAAGATCAGATGGTTGTAGATGTGTGGAGTTATTTCTGAGGTCTCTGCTCTGTTTCATTGGTCTATATGTCTGTTTTGGTAGCAGTACCATGCTGTTTGGGTTATTGTAGCCTTGTAGTATAGTTTGAAGTCAGACAGTGTGATGCCTCTAGCTTTGTTCTTTATGCTTAGGATTGTCTTGACTATACAGGCTTTTTTGAAAGAAAAACATTTATGAAATGTAAAGTTCTTTTTTCTAATTCTGTGAAGAATGTCAATGGTAGTTTGATGGGAATAACTTTGAGTCTATAAACTACTTTGGGCAGTATGGCCATTTTCACAATATTGATTCTTCTTGTCTATGAGGATGGAATGTTTTTCCATTTGTTCATGTCTTCTCTTATTTCCTTGAGCAATTGTCTGTAGTTCTCCTTGAAGAGGTCCTTCACATCTGTTGTAAGCCATATTCCTAGGTATTTTATTCTCTTTGTAGCAACTGTAAATGGGAGTTCATTTATGATTTGGCTCTCTGCTTGTCTATTGTTAGTGTATAAGAATGCTTGTGATGTTTGCACATTTATTTTGTATCCTGAGACTTTGCTGAAGTTGCTTATCAGCTTAAGGAGTTTGGGGGCTGAGACTATAGGGTTTTCTAAATATAGAATCATGTCACCTGCAAACAGAGACAATTTGACTTCCTCTTTTCCTATTTGAATATCCTTTATTTCTTTCCCTTGCCTGATTGCCCTGGCCAGAACTTCCAATACTATGTTGAGTAGGAGTGGTGAGAGAGGGCATCCTTGTCTTGTGCCGGTTGTCAAAAGGTATTCTTTCAGCTTTTGCCCATTCAGTATGATATTGGCTATGGGTTTGTCACAAATACTATTTCAAGATATGTTCCATCAATATCTGCTTAATTGAGAGTTTTTAACATGAAGGGATCTTGAATTTTATTGAATGCCTTTTCTGCATCTACTGAGATAATCACGTGTTTTTGGTCATTGGTTCTGTTTATGTGATGGATTACATTTATTGATTTGCATTTGTTGAACTAGCCTGGCATCCCAGGGATGAAGCTGACATGATTGTGGTGGATAAGCTTTTGGATGTGCTGCTGGATTCGGTTTGCCAGTATATTATTGAAGATTTTCACATCAATGTTCATCAGGGATATTGGCCTGAAGTTTGATTTTTTTGTTGTTTCTCTGACAGGTTTTGGTATCAGGATGATGCTGGCCTCATAAAATGAGTTAGGGAGGAGTCCCTCCTTTTCAATTCTTTGGAATAGTTTTAGAAGGAATGGTACCACCTCCTCTTTGTAACTCTGGTAGAATTCGGCTGTGACTCCATCTGCTCCTGGGCTTTTTTTGGTTTGTAGGCTATGAATTATTGCCTCAATTTCAGAACTTGTTATTGGTCTATTCAGAGATTCAACTTCTTCCTGGTTTAGTCTTGGAAGGGTGTATGTGTCTAGGAATTTGTCCACTTCTTCTTAGATTTTCTAGTTTACTTGCACAGAGGTGTTTGTAGTATTCTCTGATGGTAGTTTGTATTTCAGCGGGGTCAGTGGTGATATCCCCTTTGTAACCTTTGTTGTGTCTACTTGATGCTTCTCTCTTTTCTTCTTTATTAGTCTAGCTAGTGGTCTATCTAATTTGTTAATTTTTTCAAAAAACCAGATTCTCGATTTATGATGTTTGGAGGGTTTTTGTGTGTCTGTCTCCTTCAATTCTGCTCTGATCTTAGTTATTTCTTGTCCTCTGCTAGCTTTTGGTTAGAATATGCTCCTTTAGCTCAGCAGAATTTGTTGTTACCCACCTTCTGAAGCCTACTTCTGTCAATTCATCCATCTCATTCTCCGTCCAGTTTTGTGCCCTTGCTGGAGACGTGTTGTGATCATTTGAAGGAGAAGAGGCATTCTGGCTTTTGGAATCTTCAGCGTTTTTGTGCTGGTTTTTCCTCATCTTCACAGATTTATCTACCTTTCACCTTTGAGGCTGATGACCTTTAGATGAGGTTTTTGTCGGGGGGTGTTTTTTGTTGATGTTGTTGTTGCTTTCTGTCTGTTAGTTTTTCTTCTAACAGTCAGGCTCGTCTTGTGCAGGTCTGCTGCAGTTTGCTGGAGGCCCACTCCAGACCCTGTTTTCCTGGGTATCACCAGTGGAGGCTGCAGAACATCAAAGATTGCTGCCTGCTCCTTCCTCTGGAAGCTTCATCCTAGAGAGGCACTGGCCTGATGCCAGCCAGAGCTCTCCTGTAAGAGGTGTCTGTCGACCCCTGTTGGGAGGTCTCTCCCAGTCAGGAGGCACGGGGGTCAGGGACTCCTTGAGGACGTAGTCTGTCCCTCAGCAGAGCTGGTGCACTGTGCTGGGAGCATCCCCCTTGTAAGGATCAGCTACTCTCTTCAGAGCCGGCAGACAGGAAAGATTAAGTCTGCTCAACATGCAACCCTACAGCCGCCCCTAACCCCAGGTGCTGTGTCCCAGGGAGATGAGACTTTTGTCTGTAAGCCCCTGACTGGAACTTCTGGATTTCCTGCAGAGGTGCCCTGCACAGTGAAGAGCAATCTGGAAAAGCGGTCTGGCCACAGCTACTTTCCTGCGCTGTGGTGAGTTCTGCCCAGTCCAAACCCAGTCTTAGCACTGTCAGAGGAAAACCACCTACTAAAGCCACAGTAATGGTGGTTGCCCCTCCCCCCACCTAACTCCATTGTCCCAGGCTGACTCCAGACTGCTGTGCTGGCAGTGAGAATTTCAAGCCCATGGTTCTTAGCTTGCTGGGCTCCCTGGGAGTGGGACCTGCTGAGCAAGACTCTTGGCTCCCTGGTTTCAGCCCCCTTTCCAGGGGAGTGCACAGTTCTCCTGTCTCAGTGGAGTCCAGGTGCCACTGGAGTATGAAAAAACTCCTGCAGCTCAGTGCCTGACCGAACAGCCTCCAGGTTTTGTGCTTGAAACCCAGGGCCTTGGTGGTGTAGGCTCATGAGGGAATCTCCTGATCCACAGATTGCAAAAATTCATGGGAAATGCATAGTACCCCGGGCGGGTAGCATAGTCCCTCACCACTTGCCTTGGCTTGGGGGAGGTAGGTCCCCTGGCTCTGTGCACTTCCTGGGTGAAGTCACGCCCCACCCTGCTTCTGTTCGTTATCCACGGGTCGCACCCACTGCATAACCAGCCCCAATGAGATGAACTGGGTACCTCAAGTGGAAATGCAAAAATCACCCGCCTTCTTCATTGGTCTTGCTAGGAGCTGCAGACCGGAGCTGTTTCTATTCAGCCATCTTGGCCCCTCCTATCAGCAACAGCTATTTAATAGGTTCATTATTAAATCTGCTTATGACTCTAATGCAGAAAATGTTAAAACATCAGTGTATACAATGCCAGTCAACTGATTTGATTTACTGGTAGGAGAATAGAATGTGATGGCAGAAAGTAACTTTGGAAACTATCTAGTCTAAACTTCTTCCATATTCCAGTTTTACAGATAAGGAACCTGAGGGCCAGAGAGATGTAACTTAGCCAAGATTATACAAGATAGTGGTGTCAGAGTCAGAGCTAGATCCTTGCTTTCCTGACTTCCTGATCATTGTGTTTTTAACTGTGTTGAGCTGCCTTCATATATATATGTATTTTTTTCCTCCATTGCCTGAATTAACCCTTTTTTATTTTGCTATTATATGTACACAACCCAAGAAAAGGAGCTAAAATGAAAGTGTGCTATTTTGAGACTTAACATTTGAACTCTTTTTGGATACCATAGTGGATGGGTGGAAGGGAGTGCTGGGAAGAAATTACCAATGAATATCTCACTTCTGCATGATTCAAGTCCTCTGAGCATTTGCAGTCAAGTTAAGAATGTTTGTATAAGTAGAAATTCTAGGATAGTAAAGCACAGAAACATCTTCCTCTCTGGAGGCAGTTGAGCGTAATAAAGATGAAGACCTCATCATCTTCTCCACATAAATATTTGCTTACCCAGAGAAAAGATAAAGTTTCTCTCTTTCTAGAACCACATAATGCCAGAATTGCCTAAAGGCGTTTGGGGTTTCTCTCCTGTGATGCAACCTATTGCATGTGCAGGTAACATTTGACTCTCAGTGTCACCCCATGAAGATTGGGGATTAAGAATTTAGTGCTAAGATATTGCTACGACTGCTACTTCTGCTGTAAGTAAGAAATGGCATTTGTCTCTGATCCAGTGGTCTAGTATCAAATATATAGGCACCTTACTAGTTTTGCAGGTAAAATCTTAGATCCTTTAGTTTCTAACTTAACAGGCAGATGGAGCTGAATTGTTGCCATAGTATTCAAATTAGCTTCTACTAGTAATGAAATACACTATAAATACCCAGGAGAATGCAGGTGTCTCTAAGTTGCAGAACTGTTAGTTTTTTCCCCATCAATCACTTACAGAAATATTTTCAATTACATCGCATAGTTGTCTGTATCTAATTGTACAGCTCGGATGATCAAAGTGTTCTTTGGGGATAAATGAAACAAAGTGGTGTTCTTTGAAGTTATGCCCCCGACATTAAATAACTGCAATCATTTATACCAGTGGCAAAATTGCTTTCTATAAAAACCTTAGAGATCGCTAGCCAAACCTATTTTGAAATTTGTAGTTGGTGAAGGTCTAAATTTTCCAACTTTTATAAGGACCAAATGGTTGGAATGAAAGTAATTTAGAGTAAGGCTGATGTACAAACACATTAAAAATGTTTAAAGTACTTCTAGAGACACTGTTGTAGTTTGAGTCAGTACTTACACACAATTGCATCAGCATGACACTGCCAAAGTCCTTGTAAAAGATAATCTATACATGTGCAGATGTATCAGAGTATAGAATCTCCAAGAAGGAAGGTGATCTTCCTGTCTTTTTTTTTTTTTTCTTTGCTGGCAAAATTACATCTGGAGTTTTTAGCTCAGTTCTAGCATGACATCTTAAAAGTGACACTGATACAGGAAGTGTGCCTACAGCATGGGTAGCAGACAGCCAGGATGAACCACTATTAACTCTCAAAACCACCCTGTGGTGTAAGTGGCATTATTGCCATATGAGAATGAGAATATCAGGGCTCAGAGTGCTTACCAAGAATGCAAAAGTTAGTGAATGAAAAAGTTGGACTGAAGCCCAGATATTCTGGGTCTAAGTCATCTTAGGTTGCTTTCATTATTTTTGGTCTGAACACTATCGTAAATATATAAATAAAAAATTAACCTGTATAGGCATTATGATATAATGGAAATAATTATTATTTGCAGTCCGAATGCTTGTTTTTGAGTGTTGGTTATTCTGCACATACATATATATTTTTAATCTGTGGAAGTTATTTGAAAAACGTGGCATTTAAAGCGTTTGCTGCACTGGTGGCAAGTGATAGCAATGAAAACAGAATCCAGGTCCTGACTCTTAGTCCATGTTTCTTGCTATTACACCATGCTGATTCTGTTTAAATTATTTTAGTCATGGTATATTCTGTTTTACATCTTCAAACTCCATGTGCTTATATTTTCATGAATACACAAGGTAGAAGAAAAATTCCAACCCAAGAATGAAATTCTCCTAATAGGGTTGATAAAACACCTAAAATTTTAGTCAAAAAAGGCCTGAAGTTTATTATTTGCAGATACAAGTGATTTTTGATGTTTTTTTTTCTCTTTTGAGACAGAGTCTTGCTCTGTTGCCCAGGCTTGAGTGCAATGGCGTGATCTTGGCTCACTCCAACCTCCGCCTCCCAGGTTCAAGTGATTCTCCTGCCTCAGCTTCCCCAGTGGCTGTGATTACAGGCGCCTGTCACCACGCATGGCTAATTTTTGTATATTTAGTAGAGACGGGGTTTCACCATGCTGGCCAGGCTGGTCTCGAACTCCCGACCTCAGGCGATCTGCTTGCCTCGGCCTCCCAAAGTGCTAGGATTACAGGCATGAGCCACCATGCCCGGCCGTGATTGTTGATTTTTAAGAATGATCTATGCATGTGGGAACTTATCATTTGGCTTGGGGAGTACTGGCTAAATTATATTACTTTGCTATAATTGGCTAATTTTTCAAATTCATTCATGATTGTTTTTTATACCGTTTGTAGATAATTTAATTTACAGATAATTTCTTTCCTGAGATATTTTCCAATAGCATAATTTAAATATAATTGCTTTTCATTAAGGACAAATACACTTTGATCTCAGGAGAAAATGATATTGTTTTCATATAATTTGTTCCATTTGAATTTGAAATGCAGCCATTGCTAAAATAATAAATATTCAGATATGAGTTGAAAAGCATTCCTTATTTAAAACTCCACATATAACAAAATGTAGTCATGCGTAGTATGTTTAGTTCCTTTCCATGGAGATTTGCATTGCAAACAATAATAATAGGTTTTATATACATAAGATACAGTTCTGGGTAGGTACAAATAGGTGGTTTAGGAACGAAAGGAATTTAGATTAAATAGGAAATAACACATCCATTTGTTGCCCTCACAGATAAGACGGATAGTCAGGGAGACAGGCCTGTAAACAATTTAAATGCAAATGTTAAAGTATAAAGAGCCCTGAATAGCAAGCCAAAGAGCAATTTTAAAATATAAAGAGCCTTGAATGGCAAGCCAACGAGCAATCCAAGATTTGCAAACAGCAGAATAATGTGAACACAGTTTATTTTTGAAAAAAAAATATCTGGTGGAAGATTATGAGGTAGAGATCAGAAAATTGCATTAGCCTGACACTGCCAAAGTCCAGGTAAGAGATAATCTATACATGTGCAGATGTACCAGAGCGTAGACTCTCCAACAAGGAAGGTGATCTTCCTGCCTTTTTTTTTTTTTTTTTTTTCCTGGCCAAATTACATCTGGAGTTTTTAGCTCAGTTCTGGCATGACATCTTAAAAATGACGCCGATACAGGAAGTGTGTCTACAGCATGGGTAGCCAACTTATATGCTTTCAGGAGCCAAGCAAGTAACAGATGAGAGGAGCATTTCAGATATAAAGGCACATGTGCACACTCGGGGAGTTGGGGATTGATGGACTGGGGTCACAGGGATACAGGCTCAATTGTCTACCTTTTTATAGAAAGATGACAAATTCAATTTCTGTGTGTGATCTACTGATTTTTAAATGCTGGGTCACTTTATTTTTTTATTTTTTTATTTTTTTAACACGGTACAGGTAAAACAAATTTTTCTGTAGGCCCCACTTTGCGACATCTGCTTTAAAGATTCTGGAACCTGTCATGAAGAATGTTTAGAAGAATTAAAACTTCTACAGTATGGAAAAGAAACCTGATTTGGGACAGTGCTAAAAGGGTGGTAGAATTTGAGATCTACTTTCAAACAGCCAAGGGCTATCATGGGTGAAGGAGTGAGCAGTTCTGTGTGGCTTTTTAAGGCACACAGGTGGCTATTTCAGGAAGACAGATTTCAATTACAAAGAGAAAATGCTTTTGAATGTCCAGAGTTCTGTAAAATTGAAAACAGTCTGCCTTGGAAAGTAGTACGCTCACTGTTACTGGAGGTGCTTAAGCAGAGAAAAGATGGCCATTTGATGAGTATGCCGTTGTGAGAGTTTATAAGAATTTATTTCTGTTTCTATGGTAACTTTCAACTCAGAATGTTTATGATTTGTTGGTACATTTCTAGCTCAACATGAAGAAGCAGCTCAAAAAGACCATCAAAAATATTATAGGAGATATGGACTCCATTAATAGAGATCAGTAACCAAAATAATGTGAGCAAGGCAGCGTGGTGTTATTCAGCATATCCCTAACGTAGGAAATAGAAGACCTGGGTATGAGCCACGGTTCTGCTACTTGCTTATTGTGTAACCTTAAGTAAGTCACTGAAATTTTCTGTATCTTAAGTTTTTTATTAGTAGAATGGACAATTTAGACTAAGCGGTTCTCATATGTTAGTGTGCCTAAGAATCACCTGAGGTGTTTGTTGAAAATGCAGATTCACTGACCCCAATCCCAGAGACTTTCATTTAGTGAAGTTATGGCAGACTATCAAAGCTCTATGGATTTATGAACTTCATTGCATTTGGATGGCTGAGTTTTATTTAGTTACTTTGATTCTTCAAACAATAGATGTTTTAACTTCCAACAATATCACTCTTTGTGTCTATACACTGTTTTAAATGATCTGTTTCTAGCTTCTCATCTTTGCTCTTTTGTTCTTTTACTTCATCTTGGAAATGATGGAATGAGAAGACTTTTAGAGTAAAAATAAAAGGAAAAATACAATTGTCTTATAGGCTCTGACTACATTGCTCTACCTTCCCCCAGTGTAAAATTTTAGAAAATTAAACTGCAAGAAGAACTTTCTTATCCAAATTACTCAGCTGGATTGGTCTACTCTCCATAAACTCAATTATTGACACAGATCTTATCACCCAAATAAAGAAAAGCCAATCGGCTTACTCGTCAATACCAAGGGCAAAGCAATGAGGATCAGAGCAACAGAAAATTTTGGGGTCTTCCAGGAACTGCCTATGAACTTGTTTATTTAGTAGCAAGAAATCATCTCTTTGTTCAAGTATGATGTATTGGTCAGTGGTAATCCAATTCAAGTTAAGGGACAAATATATTTTGGTGTAGATAATTACGTCGATTTAGCCACGATTGTATTAACACTAGTATTGGCAGCTTTATTTTCTACACACCTTTATGATGTAATAAAAGCACATGAAAACAAAATATTTAGATAATTCCATCAACAATTATTGCTATATAATATATAAAATATTTCTGGCTCCTCATGCATCATTTTATTGAGCTAAAACACTCTCTGTTTCTTTCTATTATCAAGCACTGTCCATTAGAAATATAATCTGAACCGACATGCAAACTGCGCATCTAATTTTAAATTTTCTGGTAGCCACATTAAACAAGTAAAAAGAAAGCCAAAATTCATTTAAAAAATAACATTGTATTTACCATGGTGTACTTAAAACATTTTAAGTGCTCAGTAGCCACATATGGTGGGCAGTTGCAGTATTGGACAGCACAATTTGAATCAGTTACCCATGAGCTTTTAATAACTTTCCCCTGTTCATTGAAAGCTTGTCGCCAGCTAAGAGTCCCTAGTTTAATCATAGTCCTAGATTACTTCATTGTTCATATGCCCCTTGGTCTATCTCTTCATCCTCAGTAATCTGTGGTCCTTCCCCTCCATCTTAATCCCCCACGCCTATTGCCTCACTCTGATTTTTTTTCACCCATAACTTATCAACCTCTGATATAAATTCTGTCATTTCATTCTCTGACTAAAACATCTTATTCTTGCATTCTCTCACTCAACTGCTCTTACTATACTTGCCCTTTGTCTTCATTTGAGCATGTAATAAAATTTTACCTGGTTTCAGCCCACTGGGTGATATGTATTCAACTCAAATTCTATGGAAAGTCTATGGATTCTCAGTTCAACTACTTTCTCACCAGGATCTTCATATCCTTTCCACAGCTTCATCTATTTCTTCAGTTATTTTTAAATTCTGTTTGTATCAAACTTTGTTTAGTTCCTTAAATGCACCAGGTCCTCTGGCCTTGCAGCCTTTGCACACATATTTTCCTGTACCTAGAGTATTTCTCTAACTCTTCTCCAACTGGTTATGGTTAAATATCATTGTGAGAAGATTTCCTGCCTGATCTCCAACTTTTCTACAGCTTAGGGAAGTTTCTGCTATCCTCTGCCGAGAGTGTTTTATCCATCTCCTATCATAGCATTTATGACAAGGTATTATAACTGCTTTTTAAATTTACGTATTCTCGCTAGACCATTGTCTCTATGAAGGAAAAAACTGTCTATAATATTATCGATTATATCCATGCAATTTTACTTTATGTTAATACTTTCCACTATTATTGTAAATTTTTCAGAGTTTACTCATTTGGGGTCTAGTTCTTTAGTTCTTCAAGCAGATTTTAAGTTCTTGCAGGCAGGAACAAGGTCTATTTGTTTACTGCTGCATTCCCAATGCACAGGATACCTACCACCTGGTACATAATGGATGCCTTGTGAATATCTTTTAAAGGAGTCGATAAATGGATGGATGGATGGATGGATGGATGGATGGATGGATGGATGGATGGCAGGATGGATGAATAGATGGATGGACAGATGGATGGATGAATAGATGGATGGACAGATGGATGGATGGATGCATGGATGGACAATATAGATAACCCAATAGGGTGACTATAGTCAATAAAAACTTAATTGTACATTTTGAAATAACTTAGAGTGTAATTGGATTATTTGTAACTCAAAGGATAAATGCTTGAGGGGATGGATATCCCCTTCTCCATGATGTGCTTATTTCACATTTCATGCCTTTATCAAAACATTTTATGTACTCCCAAAATATATACACCTACTATGTATGCAGAAAAATAAATAAAAACAAAAAATAAAGTAAAATGTAGATTAAAAAAGAAACCAGTCTGCTTTTGTTCATTTGCAGATGTACTACCATGTCCTTGAAATACTTTTTTTGCCAGTTAATATAGGGAATTTAGACTAAAGGTCTGAATGCTTTATGTGGAATTTCAACATATGAAGACCAAAAAAGATTAACTGTAGCATTTCTTTTTTGAGTATTCATTATATGTCTAACATTACTAGGCTATTTTTATTTTTTATTTTTTGAGATGGAGTCTGTCTCTTGCCCAAGCTGGAGTGCAGTGGTGTGATCTTGACTCACTGCAACCTCTGCCTCCTGGGTTCAAGCATGTCGGCCAGGCTGTTCTCGAACTCCTAACCTCAAGTGATCCACCCGCCTTGGCCTCTCAAAGTGCTGGGATTACAGGCGTGAACCACTGCACCCAGCTACTAGGCTCTTTTTATACATTATTTCAATCCTTACAACAAACTCAGAAATAAATATTATATACTGCTTTTTGTAGATGGGGACACAGTCTTAGAGAACTACAGATGTTCATATTTTCCCCACTTTATAGCTCAGAGATGTTAAGCACCCTAAGAAGGTCACCTGGTTTAGTAAGGGCTAGAGCTGGGACTGGAAATTGAGTCAGGTTACCTCTAAAGCCGGGATGTTCACAATGCAGTCCTCAGTGCCAACCCTCAGTGAGGTCTGCAGTGGTCCTTATAGCTATGGCTTATTTGACTATGTATTAACCTCTCTGACTAAACAAGATAGAAGAAACAGTCCTTCATGGTATTAAAGTTTCTTGGAGCTTCTTTCTGGACTAAAGTTCAATTTCAAGGACCTCCCCTTTCTTATAACATGGAGCCATGTAGTAATTCTTGATTCTTGTGTCACCGTTACTTATTATCTTAGACTTAAAAGTATGGATTATTAAATAAAATGGACTATGTAACATTTCTTATCCTCTCAAATACTCAGATTTTTTATATGTTAAATGGGTAAAATTAATAGTAATAATTTTAGGGATTTTGCTGAATTTTAAGTAGAATAATGTATTTTTAATCCACCTGGCAAAGTCCTGACAACAAATAGTAGAATTCACTGCATGTTCTCACTTATAAGTGGGAGATAAATAACTTGTACACATGGTCACAGAGAGTGCAATAATAGAACTTGGAGACTCAGAAGGGTGAGAGAATGAGACGGTATGAAGTTTGGAGTGGGTCATGGGATAAAAAATTAGTTAATGGGTACAATGTACACAATTCAGGTGATAGTTACACTAAAAGCACAGACTTCACCACTACACACTATATGCATGTGTATTAGTCCGTTCTCACACTGCTAAGAAAGACATACTAGAGACTGAATAATTTATAAAGGAAAGAGGTTTAATTGAGTCCCAGTTCAGCATGGCTGGCCAGGCCTCAGGAAACTTACAATCATGGCAGAAGGGGAAGTAAACATGTCCTCCTTCACATGGCAGCAGCAAGAAGTGCCAAGCAAATGGGGGAAAAGCCCCTTATAAAACCATCAGATCTTGAGAGGACTCACTCACTATCACAAGAAAAGCAGCATAGGGGTAATTGCTCTCATGATTCAATTACCTCCCACTGGTTCCCTCCCATGACGTGGGGATTATGAGAACTACAATTCAACATGAGATTTGGGTGAGAACACAGTCAAACCATATAATTTCACCCCGGCCCCTTCCAAATCTCATGTCCTCACATTTTAAAACACAATCATGACTTCTCAACAGTCCCCTAAAGTTTTAAGTCATTCCAGCCATAACCCAAAAGTCTAAGTCCAAAGTCTCATCTGAGACAAGGCAAGTCCCTTCCACCTAGGAGCCTATAAAATCAATAGCAAGTTAGTTGCTTCCTGGATACAATGAGGTAGAGGCATTGGGTAAATACCCTCATTCCAATTGGGGGAAAATGGCCAAAACAAAGGGGCTACAGGTCTCATGCAAGTCTGAAATCTAATAGGGCAGTCATTAAACCTTGAAGTTCCAAAATCATCTCCTTTCACTCCATGTCTCACATCCAGGTCATGCTGATGCAAGAGGTGGGTTTCCACAGCCTTGGGAAGTTCCACCACTGTGTGTTTGCAGGGTATATCATCCCTACAGGCTGCCTTCACAATTGGTGTTGAGTGTCTGCAGCTTTTCTAGGTGCATAGTGCAAGCTGTTAGTGGATCTACCATTCTGGGATCTGGATGGTGGTGGCCCTCTTCTCACAGCTCCAGCAGACAGTACCTCAGTGAGGACTCTGTGTGGAGGCTCTGACCCCACATTTCCCTTCTACACTGCCCTAGCAGAGGTTCTCCATGAGGGCTCTACCCTGGAGCAGACTTCTGCCTGAAAATCCAGGCATATTCATACATTCTCTGAAATCTAGGTGGAGGTTCCCAAACCTCAAGTCTTGACTTATGTGCATCTGCAGGCCCAATATTACATGTAGGCTGCCAAGACTTGTGGCTTGTACCTTCCAAAGCAATGGCCTGAGGTATACTTTGGCCCCTTTTAGCCACGGCTGGGATGCACAGCACCAAGTCCTAAGACTATACAAAGCAGCAAGGCCCTGGGCCCAGCCCAGGAAACCATTTTTTTCTCCTAGACCTTCAGGCCTATGATGGGAGGGGCTGATGGAGATCTGTGACATGCCCTGGAGACATTTTCCCCATTGTCTTGGCAATTAACATTTGGCTTCTTGTTACTTATGCAAATTTCTGCAGCCTGCTTGAATTCTCCTTAGAAAATGGGTTTTTCTTTTCTATTGCATCATCAGCCTGCAAATTTTCCAAACTTTTATGCCCTGCTTCCCTTTTCAACATAAGTTCCAATTCCAAACTGTCTCTCTCAAGTTCAAAGTCCGTCAGATCTCTAGGGCAGGGACAAAATGCTGCCAGTCTCTTTGCTAAAGCATAGCAAAAGTGACCTTTGCTCCAGTTCTCAAGTAGCTCCTCATCTCCATCTGAGACCACTTCAGCCTGGACCTTATTGTTCATATCACTATTAGCTTTTTTGTCAAAGCCATTCAACAAGTCTCTAGGAAGTTCCAAACTTTCCCACATTGTCCTGTCTTCTTCTGAGCCCTTCAAACTGTTCAAACCCCTGCCTGTTACCCAATTCGAAAGTCACTTCCACATTTTTGGGTATCTTTTCAGCAATGCTCCACTCTACCAGTACCAATTTACTGCATTAGTCTATTTTCACACTGCTGATGAAGACATACCTGAGACTGGGAAGAAAAAGAGATTTAATGGACTTACAGTGCCACATGGCTGGGGAGGCCTCACAGCCATGGCAGGAGGCAAGGAGGAGCAAGTCACATCTTACATGGGTGGCAGCAGGCAGAGAGAGAACTTGTGCAGGGCAACTCCAGTTTTTAAAATCATCAGTCCTTGTGACACTCATTCCCTATCATGAGAACAGCGCGGAAAGACCTGACCCCATAATTCAATCACCTCCCACTGGGTTCCTTCCACAACACGTGGGAATTGTGGGAGTTACAATTCAAGACAAGATTTGGGTTGGGATACAGCCAAACCATATCAGGTAGGTTGGACATTTTAACAATATGGTGTCTTCCTATTTATGAACATGGAATTTTTCCCCATTTTTTTGTGTCATCTCTGATTTCTTTGAGCAATGTTTTGTAATTCTCATTGTACAGATCTTTCACCTCCCTGGTTAGCTGTACTCCTAGGTATTTTATTCTTTTTGTGGCTACTATGAATGGGATTGCATTCCTGATTTGGCTTTCAGCTTGAATTTTGTTGGTGTATAGGAATGCTACTGATTTTTGGTACATTTATTTTGTATCCTGAAACATTGTTGAAATTGTTTATTACATCACGAAGCTTTTGGGCAGAGACCACCAGGTTTTCTAGGTATAGAAACATATCACCTGCAAACATGAATAGTTTTACTTACTGTCTTCCTGTTTGGATGCTTTTTCTTTCTTTCTCTTGCCTTATTGCTCTAAGACTTCCATTACTAGGTTGAATAGCAATGATGAGAAAGGTCATTCATGTCTTATGCCAGTTTTCAAGGGGAGTGCTTCCAGCATATTAAATTTGCCAATTCAATATTATGTTGGCTGTGTGTTTGTCATAGATGGCTCTTATTATTTTGAAGTATGTTCCTTCAATGCTTATTTTGTTGAGAAATTTTAACATGAAGGAATGCTGAATTTTATTGAAAGCCATTTCTCCATCCATTGAGATAATCATATGGTTTTAAATTTTTATTTTTGTTTATGTGATGAATCATATTTATTGATTTCCGTATGTTAAACCAACCTTGCATCCCAGGAACAAAGCCTACTTGATCATGGTAGATTAGGCTTTTTATGTGCTGCTGGATTCAGTTTGCTGGTATTTTGTAGATGATTTTTACATCAATGTTCATCAAGGATATTGGCCTGAAGACTTCTTTTTCTATTGTATCTCTACCAGGTTTTGGTATCAGGATGATGCTGGCTTCATAAAATGAGTTAGAGAGGTACCTTCTCCTCAATTTTTTGGAATAGTTTTAGTAGGAAGAGTGCCAACTCTTCCTAATACATTTTGTAGCATTTGGCTGTGAGACCAGGCATGGCGGCTCACGCCTGTAATCCCAGCACTGTGGGAGGCAGAGGCGGGTGGATCACTTGAGTATAGGAGTTTGACACCAGCCTGACCAACATAGCGAAACTCTGTCTCTACTGAAAATACAAAAACTTAGATGGGCTTGGTAGCACATGCTTGTAATCCCAACTACTCAGGAGGCGGAATCATGAGAATTGCTTAAACCCTGGAGGTAGAAGTTGCAGTGAGCCGAGATCACACCATTGCTCTCCAGCCTGTTTGACAGAATGAGACTCTGTTTCAAAAAAGAAAAAAAAAGAAAAAAAAGAATTTGATTGTGAATCCATCTGGTCTTGGGCTTTTTCTGGTTGAAAAGCTTTTCATTACTGATTCAATTTCAAAATGAATTATGGGTCTGTTAAGCAATTCAATTTCTTCCTGGTTCAATCTTGGGAGGTGGTATATCTCCAGGAATTTATCCATTTTGTCTAGATTTTCTAGCTTGTGTGCATAGAGGTGTTCATGGTAGGCTCTGATGTTTATTTGCATTTCTGTGGGGTCAGTGATAACATGTTCTTTGTCATTTCTCATTGTGTTTATTTGGCTCTTCTATTTCTTTCTTGATTTAGCTAGCAGTCTATCTTATTTATTTATTTTTTCAGAAAATCAACTTCTAAATTTTTCTCATTTTTTTATGGTTTTGTCCATCTCAATTCCTTTCAGTTCAGATTTGATTTTGGTTATATCTTGTCCTCTGCTAGCTTTGGGTATGGTTTGCTTTTGTTTCTCTAGTTCTTCTAGTTATGATGTTAAGTTGCTGCTTTGAGATCTTTCTAACTTTTTGACGTGGGCATTTAGTGCTATACATTTCCCTCTTAACACTGCTTTAACTGTGTCCCAGAGATTCTGGTATGTTGTATCTTTGTTCTCATTAGTTTCAAATAATTTCTTGATTTTTGCTGTAATTTCATTATTTATCCAGAAATCATTCAGGAACATTTATTTCCATGTAATGCTATAATTTTGAGTTATTTTCCTAGTATTTATTTCTATTTTTATTATGCTGTGGTCCAAGAGCGTGGTTGGTATTATTATTTTTTTCACACTTGCTGAGGATTGCTTTATGTCCAATTGTGTTGTCAATTTTAGAGTATGTGCCATGTGGTGATGAGAATGTACACTCTGTTGTTTTAGGGTGGAGTGTTCTCTGCATGTCTATCAAGTCCATTTGGTTAAGTTTCCAGTTCAGATCCTGAATATCTTTGTTAGTTTTCTGTTTTGATAGTCTGTCTAATACTGTCAGTGTGATGTTGAAGTCTCCCACTATTAGTGTGTGGTTATCTAAGTTATTTCACAGGTGTCTAAGAACTTACTTTATGAATATGGGTGTCCCTGTGTTGGGTGTGTATATATTTAGGATATATATGTCTTCTTGTTGAATTGATCCCTTTACCATTATGTGACACTCTTTTTCTTTTTTTATCTTTTTTGGTTTGCAGTCCTGTTTTGTTAGAAACTAGGATTGCAACCCCTGCTTTTTTCTGTTTTTAATTTGCTTGGTAGATTTTTCTCCATTCCTTTGCTTTGAGCCAATGTGTGTCATTGCATGTGAGATAGGTCTCCTGAAGTGGCAAAATGTGGGTCTTGCTCCTTTATCCAACTTGCCACTCTGTACCTTCTAATTGGTGCATGTGGGCCATTTACATTCAAGGTTAAGTTTGATATGGCAGATTTGTTCACGTCATCGTGTTGTTAGCTGGTTATCAGGTAGACTTGTTTGTGTGGTTGCTTTATAGTGTCGTTGGTCTATGTACTTGTTTGGGTTTTTGTAGTGGCCAGTAATGGTCTTTTCTTTCCATGTTCAGCATTCCTTTCAGGACCTCTTATAAGGCAGGTCTGGTAATGAGTTCCCTCAGTGTTTGCATTTCTGAAAACAATCTTATTTCTCTTTTGCTTATGAAGGTTAGTTTGGCTAGATATGAAATTCTTGACTGGAAATTCTTTACTTTAAAAATGCTAAATATTGACCTCCATTCTTTTCTTGCTTGTAGGATTTCTGTTGAAAAGTCTACTGTTATCTTGATAAGGTTCCCTTTGTAGGTGAGCTGCCACTTTTCTCTAGTTGCCTTTAACATTTTTTCTTTCATTTTTACCTTGACGTATTTAATGATTATGTGTCTTGGGTATGGTATTCTTGTGTAGTATTTTGCAGGATTTCTCTGAATTTCTTGAATATGAATGTTGTCCTCTCTAGTGAGGTTTGGAAATTTTTCATGGATGATGTCCTGAAATATATTTTCCAAGTTGCTCTTCCAATCTTTCAGGGACACCAATGAGTCAGATATTTTGTGTTTTTACATAATCCTATATTTCTCAGACGTTTTGTTCATTCTTTTCTGTTTGTTTTTCATCATTTTTGTCTGAGCTATTTTGGAAAGCTGGTCTTCGAGCTCTGAGTTTCTTTCCTCAGCTTGGTTGATTCTGGTATGAATACTTATAAATGTATTCTGAAATTATTGAAGTGAGCTTTTCAGCTCTATTAGCTCAGTTTGGTTCTTTTTTAAAATGGCCATTTTGCATTTCATCTCCTTTATCATTTTATTGTATTCCTTAGAATCTATGGATTGTCCTTCAACTTTTTCCTGAATGTTGATTATCTTTGTTCCTATCCATATTTTGAATTCTATTTCTGTCATTTCAACCATTTCAGCCTCATTAAGAAACATTGGTGGGGAACTAGTGTGGCGGTTTGGAGGACAGAAGACACTTTGGGTTTTTGAGTTGCCAGAGTTCTTGCACTGTTTTTTTCTCATCTGTGTGGGTTGATGTTCCTTCAGTCATTGAAGTTGCTTTTTCTTTTGTTTATTGTTGTTGTTGTTTTTTGTTCATTTGCTTTGCTTTTAATATCTTCTTTGATGTCCTTGGGAGTTTGACTGTGGTATAAGATGGGGTCAGTTGGTTGACTTCATTTCCATTAGATTTCTGGGGGTACCAAGGCTCAGCTCAACACTCCTGGGCTCTGTGCTCTAACACTACGGGGCTGGTATTGGCCCTGGCTTTGTTCTCTGGCCTCTTGAGGTTGGGAATCTGTTGTGCTGGAAGGGACAATGTGTTCCTAGACTACTGGCCACAACACTCTGAAGAATGGTGCCAAAGTGCTTCATTGGGCAGTGGCAGCAGGATCCGTGCCCATTCACATGTGGCAGCAGAAGCAGCAGCACAGCAGGGTGCACACTCGTCAGCTGGAGCAAGGCGCTGGCAAGCTTGGGGCTATTGGCCTCCATTTGGGCATTGGAAACAGTAGACTCAGTGCCGGGCTGGAAGGGTGTTGGGGCACAAGTCCACTTGTATTCATGTGTCCTGCTGGATGAATACATCCTTTGGATTCACGCTGGCAGCAGTGGTGGCGTCGTGAAGGGTATGGGGCTGCTGGTGTCCCCAAGCATGTTTCTGCCCTCAATGGTAGCGCAGCCATAGGGCATCAGGTGGGGCAGTTGATGCATTCATGCTGGTAACAATGGCATGGTGGGATGCATGTACAGCCATTCACCAGTACTGAAGGCGAGTCGAGGTCTGTCTGAACACATGCATGCTGGCAAAGTAATGGGGGGATGGCCATGGGTGAGTGCATGCCAGCCAGGTGGCACGGGGAAGGCTGTGTTAGGGGGAGTTTTCGGGTGGGCTGATGCATGTCAGTGGGAACTGCTCTCCCGCAGTTCTCCGATGACAGTCAGGTGCAGTCTGACAGTGCAGAAGCTATGATTTGAGCCCCCAGGAGGCACCCAGGTTGTGCATTCAAGACTGTACTGCAAGCAGGCAAAGCGAAGCTAGGACCCCAGAAGAGGCCAGCAGACAAAAGTGCACTCAGGTCAGACTGGACCTATCTCATGGGCAAGACTGGCCCCTCTTTGTTCAGTTCTGACAGTTGCCCTAAGGCTGGCATCTCCTCAGGGAGCATGGTGAACCTTAGGGAATGGGCATCTCTGGCCATGCTCCCCTGCAGACATTCCTGTACCAAACCCTCTGGGCTCCACACCGGCTGGAATCCTGTCCCTACCACCTCTCTAAGCAGCTCTCCCTGACAGTTAAAGTGTCCGTGGGAGTTGTGGGGTATCCTGCTGCCAGAATGATTGAAGTACATGGCAAGAGTGAGTTGTTCCTCGCCTGCTCAACTCACCCCTTCACCGGAAGTCACGGGGCCTGGAATGATTCCCCAATTTTATCTTTTTTTTTTTTTTTTAATCAGGCTGACTTTCATCCATAAGATTGCAAACCACTTGACATTGGTCTCCATAACGGTCTGTATTTTACCTATATTTTTTCCCTAGATCCATTTTTTCTTCTATGGCCACTTCTTGTTCCAAATTGTATTTGAGGATAGGTATTATTCTTGTATGTTTTCTTTCTATTGTAGAGTGCCCAGCTTGCTTTGTTTCATCCATAGTCAGTGCCCATTAAGGTAGAAACATGTGCGGAGCATACAGTATCCATCATAGAGTTTCTGTCTCCATGCAACATATATATGGAGAGGGGCCACTCTTTGTGTGTCTTTTCTGTACTTACTACTCTCTGAACACCATATTAATGTATATTTGTCCTTTAATTTGAGCTATATTGCCAGCTTGCTTCTCAACACTAGTGGTTGACACAGTGTCAGCCATTTTTCTAATATATACTAAATATGAGGGAAAGTATTAAGATGAGATATACTGCCTTAAAGTCCAGGCTATTCAATTAATAAAATGAAGTTCTATCTTCCAATGTTATGTTGGCTTTGAAAATCATAGGTACTCAATTTTTAAAATTAAATCTATATTTAATTATAGGTTTTGGTTTTTTAAAAAAGAAGAAAAGTCACAGATTTTACAAACGTTACCTGTTGCTGGAACTTTTTAGTGTCTCTGTGTCAAAGTTGCTTTCATAGGTAATATTCAGTGCTGTCCTAATGTATAATGGTCTTGCTTTGGAGAAAATGAGCTCTTCATCTTTGCGATATTTAAACTTATATTTGATTGACTACCTGGTAAAGATTTTGCAGAAAATCCAAGGGTGATTCCCAAGACTCAGGGTCAGTAAACTGTGATCCATGGGCCAAATCTGACCCACCACTTGCTTTTGTAAATAAAATGGTATTAAAATACAGCCATGCTCATTTGTTTAGGAATTATTTATGGCTACTTTCATGCTATAATGGTAAGTAGTAGCAGCAAAGACTAAAATATATACTATTTAGCCCTTTATAGAAAGAGTTTGCTGACCTTTGGTCCAGCATGTGGTATCTAGATGTTCTTTAAAGCCCCCAGAACCCAGACATTTTATAATTGTTGGTAATGTCATTTTTCTCATGTTGTCTATATAAAGTAAGTGATTGATGTAAGACAGTGTCCTAAGAAGGTTAAGTCCCTTAACATAAACCTTCACTGATCATAGGAATTGTCTGTTTTATAAAGTGCTTTGGTATATGGTCTAAAGCAGTAGTTCTTAATTGAAGGTATAGTTGGCCTTCAGTATCTATCGATTCCACTTCTGCTGATTCAACCAACTGCAGATAGAAAATATTCTTAAAAAAATAAAAACAATACAAAATAATACAAATAAAAATATAGTGTAAACTATTTATATGATATTTACACTGTATTAAGTGTTATAAGTAATGTATAAATGATTTAAAGTATACCAGAGAATGTGTATAGGTTGTATGCAAATACTCTGCCATTTTATATCAGGGACTTGGGTATCCACAGATTTTGGTATCTATGAGCCAGTCCCTCATGGAACCAAAGTATGATTGTATGCAAATCTCTTAAAATTGTATTGATAATTATTTTGTTTGTATATGTATATATGCATTTGGGGGAAGAGGTTCTACAGTTATCAAATTTTGTGTGCAATCTGTGTATGACTAAAAAAATGCTGCTCTGTATGTTTCTTTTGACAATGGCAAAAACAAAAACTCAGTACAATTTCAATAAAATCAATGTTGATTTTTTTTTTCATTTGGTACCTCTAGCTTTGGCCTTGTTTATCCTAAATGGCTTGATTCTACCTGGTTATCTAACAGCCAAGTGAAAATCTACACACAGCTTGGCATTGTCAGTTTCTAAAGGGAAGAATTAATATTGTTAAAATGTCCGTATTATCTAAACCATCTACAGGGTCCAGACAATCCCTATTAAAATTCCAATGGGATTTTCTACAGAAATAAAAAATACTATCTTAAAATTCATATGGAGCAACAAAAGACTCCAAATAGCCAGAGAAATCTTGAGAAAGAAGAACAAAGCTAGAGGCACCACACTTTCCAATTTAAAAATATATCATACAACTACAGTAACTAAAATAGTGTACAGTATTGGTATACAAACAGTAATATAGACCAAGTGGAACAAACTAAAGAGCCCAGAACTAAACCTACATATATACAGTCAAATGATTTTCAACAAGGATGCAGATAATACATGGGGAAAGGGCAATCTCTTCAATAAATGGTTCTGACAAAACTGAATATTCATATACAAAAGAATGAAATTGAACTCTTACACCATACACAAAACAAGTCAAAATGCATTAAAGATTTACATGTAAGACCTGAAACTGTAAAGCTCTTAAAACATAAAAGAAAAGCTTATTGACATTGAGCATGGCATTGATTTCTTAGATATGACACCAAAAGCACAAGCAATAAAAGCAAAATTAGACAAGTGGGGCTACATCAAACTAATAAGCTTCTGTGCAGCAAAGGAAACAACAGAGTGAAAAGGCAATCTACAGAATGGGATAAAATATTTGTAAACCATATATGATAAGGGGTTAATGTCCTTAATATATCCAAAATATATAAGGAACTCCTATAACTCAATATTTAAAAACCCAAATAATCTGATTAAAAATTTTTCAGAGTTTACATAGATATTTCTCCAAAGAAGACATATGAATTAACAATTATATGAAAAGATGTTAAATATCACTAATAATCATGGAAATACAAATAAAAACCACAATGAGATTTCACTTCACACCTATTCAGATGAATATTGTCAACAAGACAAGACAAAAGTGTTAGAGATGATGGAGATTAATTGGAACCCTTGTACATTATTGACAAGAATGTAAAAGGTTGTACCTGCTATAAAAAACAGTGTGAAGGTTTCTCAAAAAGTTAAACATAGAACTACCATCTGATCCAGCAAACCCATCTCTTGATAGACACCCAAAAGAATTGAAATTGCTATCTTGAAGTGATAACTATACTGTCATATTCACTGAAGCATAATTCACCAGAGCCAAGAGATAGAAACCACCCATATAGCCGTTGACAGACGAATTAATAAAGAAAATGTGATATTTACATATGATGGAATATTACTCAGACTTAGAAGGAACTCCTGCCATTTGTGACAACATGGATGAACCTGGAGGACATTATGCTAAGTGAAACAAGTCAGGCACAGAAGAACATATAAGTGATTCTACTTATATATGAGGTATGCATATAATAGTCAAAATCATAGAAGCAGAGAATAGAATGGTAGTTACCAAATGCTGGAGGGAGCAGAAAATGGGGAGTTATTGTTCAATTGACATAAAGTTTGGGTTATACAAGATAAGTAATAACTGGAGATTGACTGCACCACATAGCACCCATAGTTAGTACTGCATTGTGTACTTAAAAATTTGTTAATAGAGTAGACTTCATGTTAAGTCTTGTTACCACACAGAAAAAAGGACACAAAGAAATTTGGAGGTAATGGATGTGTCTATTACCTTGATTGTGATGATGATCTCATGGATGTACACATTTGCTCAAACTCATCAAATTTCGTACATCAAATATGTGCAATTTTTATATCAATTATACCTTAAAGCTGTTAAAAACAATGAAATGTATCACTTGAAAGTATAAATGAGTTAAAATTAGGGTGGCTATATCTGCTCACCATTTTTATTCTGTAGAAGTGCTTACATTTTCTATTAAGTGAATGTATTACTTTTGCAACAAAACAATAATATACGATGCTGGCAAGAATAGAAATAGGCACTTTTATACATAATTCTTTTTCTGAGATTATTAAATGTTGGTATGTTTCTATAATAAAAAAGTGAATTTTATGTTGTTAGAATACCCAAAAGAGTTGAGTAAAAATTTTACTTTAGTGTCTGATATCTGTCCCCAAAGCAAAGCAACTACTAGATTAGTAAGGGAAAATAATATGTGTTTATCAAACTCTGTTTCCTTTTCCTTATGGGCACACAGCTAGACTATATTTCCCATCATCCCCACAATCAGTAGGAGGCATTTGGTTGAATTGTGGAAAATAAATTGTGGAGTCAAGTGATGCACCTAACCTTCAGGCCTGGCACCGAAAACATCTCATGTGATTTTCTACATACTTTTCTATTTTGCAACTGTTTGATAAAGTGGATTTATTTTAGGACTTAATGGACAGTTGAGTCATTCAGTAGAAGAAGTCCCGATTCTTTATTGACTGCATGAAGCATACCATAATATGTTATTGAGTTGCTCTTATTTTAAAATTGCTCATTACAACAGCCAAACTGTACTGACTACTTCAGGGATGGACCAATATACCAATCAAACTGTGCTTCATTATGTAATTGCAATAGAAAAAAACAAAGATTAAGGGGCCTTGAAGGGCCTAGTAAGGCGCTCACCTGTTAAAAGTACTGAGTCACTTTTTTCTAATCAGTTGATGATGGAATTGCCAGAATTTAAAATGGTCTTTACAAGTACAGTTATTAGCATATATTTTTTTCTAAGCCAGAGTTCATCTTTTCTTTAGGATATGTTGAGCTTGTCCTATTTACTCTGGCTAACATAGTGGTCATGTAAATATATAAATTTTGTTTGTAAACAGGTGAGGGTAAATCCACACCCATGAAAATACACACTTATGAGCCTTTCTAGGCCAATTTAAATAACAAAATATAAATAAATTTAAATTTAAAAGTAAAAATAGAAAATGCTACACCTCAGCTCGTAGTCCCATAGACACATCGGAGTTCATTTTCTCCAAGGAAGAATTCTTGTTGACCATGCTTAACTACATGAGAGCAGATGTAAACATTTTCCCTGTTATAGAATCATAGCAATTCCTTCACTAGGCTGAAAGAGAAGTACGCAAGGTCAGATTAGAGATCTCTTATGCATGTGGCAATCTTTTCACTTTTCTTTAGAGGAGGAAATAAACTAGAAATGTTGGGGTCAGTTTCAGTGTGCCCTTCTTTTCCGAAGAACATGTGTGTGCATGCCCACTCACACCTGTGAGCATGCATGTGTATTTTGTGTCTAAATGTGTAAAATAAAGACTTGTATTTTGTGTTTAAATCCTGAACAGAAGAAGAAAATTCTGAAGAGTTTTGAGCTAACGATTGCAAGACTTTAACTTGCTATCCTGAATGGATGGATTATTATATAAACTATAAACATAACAAGTATTCTTTCGGCCTGCAAAATAGTAACTTACTTTGACTGCCATAGAGCTTTTTCTTATCTCTCCCTGTAAGTGCTCTCTTCTGTGCAGTACAGGCTGCTGCTGATTCTCTGTTCATATAAGTAGTAAATGCTGAGATGTCACCTTGGTGTTGGCAGTGTGATCAATCACAGCCTCACCTTGGAAGAGGGTCTTTCCCTGCTTGGTGACAGGACACATATCGTTGAATGCATATTACTTGGAAACCTTAGAGGATGACCTCTGGAATACCATAAACATGATAATGGTGATCCTTACATTTTGCTCTATTTCTTTCACTTCTGCTCCCCCAAAGAAAACACATGGAGTTGACAAAGCAAAAGCAGCCTTAATACTCAGCTTTGAAGGCAGGAAAAAATCAGTACTGTCTTTCTAGTCAAGTTACAGACAGTAAAGTTTCTTTATCTCAAGAAATGTTCATTGCATCGTGTACCTTTCCCAAATTTCTAGGCTTACCTTCAAATATTAAGCTTTTGGTGATTAAATCTCAATTATTTTGGATTCCTTGAACAAAAGAAATATTTTTACATTTAGTGTATGCTCTGCCTAAAGTGTACCCACCCTGCCACCATTCCTTCAGTATTCTGTTATCCTCTAGTTGTTGAACAAACATTCTTTCTTCAAGTCAGTGTTCACATGTCACTCACCTATATGAGGTCTTTCTCCAGCTGCCAAGCACAGTTAGCTGTTTTCATGTTGTTATTTCCACAGTACATACCCTTTTCCTATTATGGTTATCTCACTTTATAGTCATTAGTTAATATATTAGTCTCTTGCATAGGATCTTGAACTCCTCAAGGGCACAGAACAAATACTATCAGTTTCTGTAACACTCAGTCCAGTGCCTGGTATGTAACAGCAGTCACCAAATAGACATTGAACAAATTTGGATATACCCCATTTCTTCAATTAGTCAATCTGGCATAGTAGTTTAGAGAATGGGCTCTAATTTTGACTGTCCTAGATTCAAGTCCTAGCCCTTCCAATTATCAGCCTTGTAATCTTGGGCAAGTTATCTCTGTATTCCTGCTTACTAACTGGAAAACATGAATAACAATAATACCTGCCTACTGGAATTGTTAAGAGGAAATGGGAAAATAGATGTAAGCTGTACCATAAAGTGCCTGAGATACACGAAATGTTCATCAAATGGCCCTTTTCTTTTTTCTACCCACCCTGGACCAGCTCTCTCTTAACAGACCCGAACTGCTAGGTAAATGATATTCGTAGGGAGGGACGTTTTTCATTAAGCTAAAAGCCCCACTGTAAAATTGGAAACAAATTTGCATTGAGTGAGTATTTACTGGTACATATATTCTTCTTGATCAATGAAAAGACATAGTATTGAAAATATGTTCAAGTATAAATAAAACTGAAATTCATCAGATTTGCCCTTTCTCTATAATTACGGAGCAAAGGGAGGTGTGAGTTACATTTTAAAATTTCACATAACATCTTTAGCTCTATTTCCTGGTCAATTTCAAGATAAACTGCTGTACAATATGCATGGGAGTATTTCATGCTCAATAATTCTTTTGCAGTATTTTTCTTTAGATATGCATATACCCATAGGCAATTGCAGGTTAACAGCTTGTATTGGAGAGCACTATGAATCAAAAAGCCAAGTAAAATCCTGTTGTTACCTTGAAAAATTATTTGAAAACGAACTTGCCTTGCTGATAAAACTATAATTACATTTTACATTCTTCACAATATTACTCAGCGAATTGTATTTTTTTCTGTACAAACTCTTTGTCCTTGAAAATAGGTTATTACAGCAAAGCAGCTTTCCAAGACAGATAACTTTCCTGAGATAAACCTTTAGATCTTCACAAGCTGTCTTTGTTCTGTTCTTGTCTATACTTTTCAAAGAGTTAGAAATATCTGCAGTGTATTTGACACAGCTACAGCTGCCTTTAAAAAATGTTGCCTATCTGATTGATGTAAAACAATATTACAAAACCTTGGATGAGCTATGGGTAGGGATCAGACTGTCTACTTAACATTTAAGAATCCCCAGAATATTTATCTGTTAATGTAGTCTAATATATACTTGATTCTTCCCATCATAATGCAAACTATAATTTCAATCAATAGAAGTTCAAATTAAAGTTCCTATGTATATCTATTTTTTAAAGTTCAACTTAACCAAGGATGTAATACAATTTGAATGAACTTAAATAGGGCTTCTGCAAATAAATATTATAATTTTATTTTTATGTATGTACTCATGTATTTTATTTTAATCATTTTGTTTTAAAAGATTTTATAACATTTTGGGATGAATTTTGGTTTTCATCTGTCAATCTTACTAATAACTCAGTGTTAAGATTCATGCACATACATAAACCTCTTACAAGCAAGCCGAACCAAAGAAATAATTTGAAGACATTTGCTTTCTCCAGAAAGCAGAAATAAAATAATGTGGTAAATCATGAACTCTAATATGATTTGTACGATAGCTGGGACCTTTTTCACTATTTCCCAGTTATATATTTAAAGTCTCGGACAGTGCTTGCCACATAGTAGGTGTCCAATGAATATTTGTTGAACGAATGAACACTTATCTAATTTTAGGAGCCTTACAGGGTCATTGCATACAATTTTGAAAATGTAGAAATTGTATTGAAGAAGATAAAAATCACCCATAATTCAACAACTCAAAAGTGCTAACATACTTATTTTATTTCCTTTGCTTTAGTTACATTTTTTGGCTTCAAGAAAAATAAACTTATCTAGCACATATAAAGTAAAAGTTTGGAAGAATTTTCCCCTGATATCTCTGGGTGGGGCTTTGGAGTCTTTTGTTTATTCCTTTTTTTCATTCTCTTGATTCTTTCTATAGACTCATTTTCTGTGTTTCTTCATCATCATACTTATTGCCAAAATACTCCCCACCCCTAATTCAGATACTTTAAGCGGCCACCATCATTTGGCACTGGGAGACTTGTCAGAGAGTAACTTTGTTACTTGGCCAATTACCTCCCTTTGAGTCAGGGAAACATACATTCTTTCCAACTCATGTCAACTGGAGGATTATGGGTGTTTTGTGGTGTTGTGGGATACCTAGTCTTACCTACTCAGAACAGGTTATAGGAATGTTTTAATGGGACACCTCCCATAAATGCAGTAAGATCTGTGCCATTAAGGACCATGTCTTTTACCATTTCTGATACATCATAGTTACTCAATAAATGAGTGATTAATGAACAAGCCAAATAAAGGGCATATAGATGGGAATCTTTGGAAGCCACTTTTTGCAGTACGAACAAGTTTGATGCTTCTATATATGTATGTGTTGGGGAGGTGAGGGAGTGTGGTACAGAAATACGTGTCTAAGTATTTGTGCGTATATATGAAAATGTTACATTTGTTGGGCTGCTTTTTCTACACCAAGGGTGATAGATCACTACCTAGTGCAGCTGATGGCGCATGCAGCCTGGCACTTATGGAGTACTGGCATGAATTTGGTGCTCTCTCTTAAAGCTACAGTAACCATACTTCAAAGAACTGCAGGTGGCATCCACACAGACGGCTAGATTTTTTAAGTGAGAAAGGATGAGTCAGGAATTTGTTTATTTTAGTTTGATAACTTCATTTTCAATTAAAATAAAGGACTTACAGAGAACTCGAGGGGCACAGAATGGACCTTCAATAAAATTATTCTACCTTTGTCACTATTAAATATTTTGTGACATTCTATTTTCTATTGCTTTATGAAATTTGAATAAAAATGGACTTAATGATCTGTAGGGCCTTGTCTAATTATGGTACTTAGTGACTATTGGATAATTAGATCTATAATTATTAGTATAATCATTAGCATTATCAATATTATAAATAGCAGCCCCATTCAGACACATATACACACAAAATTAATGGATTTGAATTATCCAGATTACACTCTTACCTCATCCTGGAAATGTGGAGATAGTTTTTGTATTTCAAATGGGTAAACAAGATCCTAGATATTATATTTTGAGTGACTATAATGGACAGTAGAGAGTAGGAATTAAGACTCTGACACTTACTACATATTGAAAATTATTGGTACACAATATTTCAATCATTTTATGTCAGCATTTTAAAATCAATTTTCTCTGTAATAATCTAGATAGCATTTTAAAAAGAAATCCTTCTCTGTGACTTTGCAGTAGATAATTCCCTTTTATTTTCTCCATAAACAGTGTCAGTTCAAGAAAAGGCCACTCTTCACTTAGGCTTTATAATAGTAATCCAGGTTGAAATATTAGTTAACTGCTCCTCTATCTTTTCTAATTCTATATAGTTTTCAATGTGTGTGTGAATGATTAAAATTCTCCATTCAGTATCCACTGTTTATCTTTCTTAAATCCTATTTTGCGTAATCCTTTCTATAGGCAAAACTACTTTGTTCCTTGGGTAAAGTTTACCATTTAAAATTTTCATTGACATGACATTTTCCCCAGTTTAGATTTTGCTCATCAGTTACACAGAGGAAACTCTTTCTAATTTCAAAATAATCTACTCTTGTGATGCTTCTTCTTTAATACAAAGCTTTCATAACTGCTAGTACTTTTTTGCATTTTCAGACTAGTGAATCTTTCAAATCGTGTAAAAAGTTTGAGCTGCATTTATATTTAAACTAACTTTGGCGGGGGGCATGGGCAATCAAGTATATGTCATAGCGGCTTTACAAGTAGACTTTGCATGTAGAAAACAGAAAAGGAAAAAGTCCATATAGTTTTCAAATAAGTTATAGAACTTTAAGAGTTAACTATGTACAAATACATGTATAATGCAAAAGGCATGCTCACACACGAGTGCAAATATTAGAATAAACATTTTCATCTATTTGAAAACATATCCTTTCTACAAATGATCACGTGACAGGAAAAGTTGAGTGATAATATCTGGGGAATAATCGGCAAGGCAAATGTTATTTTTTCTCTAAAGTGTTAGACATTGGATTAGGTAGAGAACTATGCGGATGACTAATGACATTTTTTAAAAGTTGTATGCACATGTTTTGATCATGTAGGCATTATTTCAGCAAATGCTCTACTTTTAAAGAAGGCAACATTTCCACTTTAAAATCAGTAACAAACTTAAAGTCTATTCAAATAAAAGGCTGAGGTATCAGTATATGAACTGAAGTCCATTTTCCACACTCGGCAGGAGACGATGATATAAAAATGAAATAAACAAGAACTAAAAAAAAATTGTCATGCCCTTTATTGTTCACTGTCAACTTAAGATCATTTTTAAACTTCCCGTTAAGAAACTTGTTTGGAATATATTGAATCACTAGGAAGAATAACATGGAAAATACCAACCTCAGATGTTTTCTTGGGTTGATTTTAGGCCTCTTCCATTAACATGGAGATACACTAAATTGCTGAAATTCACTTTAACTGGATGCTTATTTATTGACTAGCACAACTACAATTTTAAAAAGATCTGTTTATATTCCTACAAAACATTGGTAATATTGTTTTAATTTGTTAAGTATTTGTTAAGTTTGGTGTAGTCACGTACAGCACAGTAAGGGAAACTCAGACCAGAAAGGCAAAAGAGTAAGTTTATTACTCACAAACTCCAGAGAGAAGAGGGCAGCATGCTTTGCAGGGCCAATGGGAATGAGTAGGGGGCATTCAGGACGTGTACTCAGCCAGCAGGTAGAGAGTAAGAGTGAGAGGGAGGGACCTGTGGGCCCATGCCTTTTTCGAGGTCTGGGTCCTTATCTATGTAGATTTTTCTGTGACAGGTTGTATTGGTTAATTTGAAAGGAGCAAGGGGCTAAGCATGGGAATATGGGCTTAAATTGTCAATTTCACCAGGCTTGCTTACAAGCAGAAATAAGATGGTCAAGCACTTCAGTGTATGGAGCCTTATCTACCTGGAACAAAAAAACAGGAACTGAGAGGACTGTCTCAAAATATGTAGGTCAAGGGTGACAAGCTAGGGACAAGACAATAAGATGGATGCCAAGGCAGCATTCATATTAATGAGATTTTTGACAATCACTATTGGTCATCAAATGTGTAGTATCACACTAATGAATTGGTTCATTTTGCTTTTATTTTCTATTTTAATTTTTTTAAATATTATAATGTCTTGGTTTTTGTTTTTGATTGATAACATATATTTGAATTAAATATTCTGTTGTTTCCTAGCTTCTCTACTTTTCGTATGAAGAGAATTTTCTGGTCAGGAGAGAATGCTTAACTTAAGAATCCTTACTAATGATTTTAATGCCTTTACTTTTTGCTGAAAGAGAACTTGATGTTTAACAAAATGTTTAATTTTTAGAAACTCACATATGAGACAGGTTCAAGATGACTGACTAAAAGCAGCTAGTGTGTACCACTCTCTCGGAGGAGACAGAGTGGTGAATACACACTAGCTCTTAAAGTGGATTGCCCAGGAGACCACGCTGCGATTCATTAAGGAAACAATGACAACCCATGGAGAGCAGAGAAGAGCAAGGCACCTACCCAGGATTGGCATGGAGCCAGGAGAGGCTGCCTGTCCCTTTAAAATGGTGAGTGAGTGACAGTCCCTGGGGACCTACACTGCTGCCGTGAACCTTTGCAAGCTGAGCATGGGAGAGCCCACCTGACCACTGTGGGCCTCCAGAGTGACACAGAAAGCTGCCTGGAGTCTGAGCAGAGCCAGCACTCAAACCCACATTGAGTCCCATGGGCCTTGGATCCCTGAGCACCTTGGCACCAGCTTCTGTAGCCCTGACAACAAGGGAAGTCTGACCCTTTCACATGCCCCTAGGATAGGGGCTGCGTCCACAGTGCTAAGGAGTGGACAGACTTTAGGCCCCACATCTGCTGCACATTGCCAGGCAAGGGCCACCGGCCTGGACCCCAGCACAGCCACCCTACCACAGCTGAGGACTCCAGATGGTCACAACTCTCCGTTTCTCTGAGCCAGAACTCCCACTGTGATTGCCACTGTCAAGGTCCCTGCCTCTGCTTATCTCAGGCTGGGGAGGGAGCAAACAGCCTGAAAACTGTCACAAGGCCTCCAGCACACTGCAGCTGCTGTATTGAAAGGAAGCGAAACTGTTTTCCATGTGCGTCCTTGCCCCTGCTGTTCCTCACTGGGCAAGGCCTCCTAGCCTGGGACCCCAGCACAGCTACCCTACCTCCACCTAATCGCTTTAGTCAGTGACTCTGCTTTCTCTGGGGTGGAGCTCCCAAAGACAACAGAAAGGCCTTAGCAGGTACCTGCACTTGCTCCCCTGCAGCTAAGGAGGAAACAAATAGGCTCATTTCTTTGCTCACACCTCTAGCATGCCACAGATGCCCTGTGGAGAGGAGGACAGACTGTCTTCTCTGTGTGACCGCACCCCTGCTCTTCTTCCAACAGGGTCCCCTGGCTTGGGCCTGCAGCACAGCCACCCCGCTCCTGTCTGATCATTCTAATTGTCAGTGGCTCTGTGTTTCTCCTGGAACATCTAACAAAAGAAATGCAGGCATAGTGCCAGCGATCAGAGGGTGCTTCCCCAAAACCCAGGAGTGGACCTGATGAGGGAGTGACCTCTTTGCCCATCACATCACAGAGCATGGCTGCAAACATGAGGAAATACAAAGGAGCCACACAGCTGAGTAAGAGCCTATCTACTGGTCGTTACTCTTAAGCACAATCTACTGTATCGCAGCCCAAACTACAAAACCAAAAATGCTTTGAAAGTATATACCACTCTGAAAGCAAGGGCAATAATTCAGCCACAAATAAAGACCCTGCACAGAGCTTTGGCCCTCTGAAAACATCCAGAAATGAAGTCAACTGACTATAATAAACTTAAACCACAATTAAAGGAACACCAACACTCCCAGATAAGAATCAACACAAGAACTCTGGCAATTAAAAAACCCAGAGTGTCCCCATACCTCCAGATGAGTCCATTAGCTCCCCAACAATGGTTCTTATCCAATCAGAAATAACTGAAATGACAGGCAGAATTCAGAATCTGAATGGCAAGGAAGCTCATTGAGATTTAGGAGAAAGTTGAATCTTAGTCCAAGGAATCCAGTAAAATGATCCAAGAGCTGAAAGACAAAATAGCCATTTTAATGAAGAACCAAAATAAACTTCTAGAGCTAAAAAATTAACTACAATAATTTCATAATAAAAATAGAAGTATTAACAGCAGAATAGACCAAGCTGAGGAAAGAATCTCTGAGCTCAAAGATGTGTTATTTGAATCAATTACATCAGATAAAAACAAAGATAAGGTTTTTTTTAAATGAACAAAACTCTGAGAAATACAGGATTATTTACAGAGAGCAAATCTATGACCCATTGGCATTCTGAGAGAGAAAGAGGGAGAATAAACAACTTGGAAGAGGTATTTGAGGACATAGTCCGTGACAATTTTCATAAACTTGCTATAGAGGTTGGCATGCAGAACCAAGAAATACAGAGAACCCTGATTATATACTATACAATACAGCTATCCCCAATGCGCAGTCGTCAGATTCACCAAAGTCAATGCAAAAAAAAAAAAAAAAAAAAAAAAAAAAAAAAAAAAAAAAAACTTAATGGCAGCTAGAGAGAAGGGACAGGTCACATACTGAATGATCCCCATCAGGCTAGCACCAGACCTTCTGGCAGAAACCTTACAAGCCAGAAGAAATTGAAGGCCTATTTTCAGCATTTTTAAAGAAAAAACATTTTATATTTTTAGGATTTTATATCCTGCCAAACTAAACTTCATAAGTGAAAGAGGAAAAAAAAATCTTTCTCAAAAAAGCAAATGCTGGCCAGGCACATTGGCTCACGCCTGTAACCCCAGCACTTTGGGAGGCCAAGGTGGGCGGATCATCTGAGGTCAGGAGTTTGAGACCAGCCTGACCAACACGGTGAAACCCCATCTCTACTAAAAATACAAAATTAGCCAGCTGTGGTGGTGCATGCCTGTAATCCCAGCTACTCGGGAGGCTGAGGCAGGAGAATTGCTTGAACCCAGGAGGCGGAGGTTGCAGTGAGCCAAGATTGCACCATTGCACTCCAACCTGGGCGACAGAACAAAACTCCATCTCAAAACAAAACAAACAAAAAACAAAGAAAAAAATGCTAAGGGAATTAATTTCAACTAGACCAACCTTACAAGAGGTCCTTAGTGCTAGACATAGAATCAAAAGAATGGCACTGCTATCACAAAAACACACTTAAGCACATAGCCCCCAGGCACTATAAAGACTATCAAACAGTCAAGTCTACATAACAACCAGCTAGCAACATGATGACAGGATCAGAATCTCACATAACACTAGCCCTGAATGTAAATGAGCTAAACTTCCACTTAAAAGGCATAGAGTGGCAAGCTGGATAAAAAGCCAAGACTCAACCATCTTCTGTCTTCAGGTGATCCATCTCACATGTAATGGCACACACAAGCTCAAAATAAAGGGATGGAGTAAGATCTACAATGCAAACAGAAAACACAAAAGAGCAGGAGTTGCTATTCTTTTATCATATAAAATGGATTTTAAACCAATAATAATTAAATAGGAAAAAGAAGGGCATTACATAATGATAAAGGGTTCAATACAAAAAGACGATGTAATTATTCAAAATATATATGCACCCAACAACGGAGCACCCAGATTCATAAAAACAAGTTCTTCTTGGCCTATGAAAAGACTTAGACAACCACACAATAAAAGTGAGTAGAATACTTCAACACCCCACTGACAGTGTTAGATCATCAGGGAGGAAAACTAACAACGGAACTCTGGACTTAAACTTGACACTTGACCAGTTTGACCTAATAGACATCTCCGGAGCACTCAACAACCACAGAAATACGGTCTTCTCATGTGCACATGGAACATAGTCCAAGATCAACCCCATTCGCAGTCAAAAAAAGTCTCAGTAAATTTTAAAAACCTGAAATTATACCAAGCATACTCTCAGACAACAGGGTAATATAGAAATTAACGTCAACAATACTGCTTAAAACCATACAAATACATGGAAATTGAACAAATTGCTCCTAAATAAATCCTGGATGGACATCAAAATTAAGGCACATATTTTGAAGAATGTCTTCTAAATTAATGACAATAGGAATACATACTATCAAAATCTCTGGGATGCAGCTAAAGTAATGTTAACAGGAAAGTTTATAGTCCTAAACACCTTCATAGAAAAGGTAGAAAAACATCAAATTAAGAATCTAACTTTGAACCTGAAGGAACTAGAAAATAAATAACAAACCAATCTCAAAGCTAGCAGAGGGAGAAGAAAGTAGAGAAGAACTGAATGAAATTGAGATCCAAAAATCCATATAAAAGATAAATGAAACCAAAAGTTAGTTATTTGAAAAAGTAAACAAGATTGATAGACCAGTAGCTAGATTCACAAAGTAAAAATTGTGAAGATATAAATAAGTAAAATCAGAAATGACACATGACATTACAATTGATCTCTCAGAAATACAAAAGATGCTCAGAGAATATTAAGAACTCTATGCATATGAATTGGAAATTCTAGAGCAATGGATAAATTCCTGGAAAGACACAATCTCCCGGAATTGAATCATTAAGAGATTGAAATCCTGAGTAGACTAATATTGAGCTCTGAAATTGAATCAGTAATAAAAATCCCACCAACCAGAAAAAAAAGCATGGACCAGATGGATTCACAACTGAATTCTATCAAACATACAAATAAGATTTGGTAGCAATCCTATGGAAACTATTCCAAAAACTTGAATAGAAGGGGGTCCTCCCTAATTCACTCTATGAAGCCAGCATCAGCCTAATACCAAAATCTGGCACAGACACAATGAAAAAAGAAAACTTTAGGCCAATATCCCTGATGAATATAGACACAAAAATCCTCAACAAAATACTAGCAAACAAAGTACTGCACTACATCAGAAATTAATACAGCACAATCAAGTCGGCTATAATCCTGGAATGCAAGGTTCAAAATACACAAATCAGTAAATTTAGTTCATCACGTAAACAGAATTAAAAGCAAAAATCACATGATCGTCTCAATAGCTGAAGAAAAAGCTGTTGATAAAATCCAACAATCCTTCATGATAATAACTCTCAATAGACTAGGCATCAAAAGAACATACCGAAAATAATAAGAGCCATCTATGAAAAACCCACAGCCAACATCATACTGAATGGCAAAAAGCTGGAACCTTTTTCCTTGCAAACTGGAACAAGACAAGGATGCCCTCTCTCACCACTCCTATTCAACATAGTCCTGGAAGACCTAGCAGGAACAATCAGGCAAGAGAAAGAAATAAAAGACATCCAAATAAGAAATGAAGAAGCCAAAATATGTCTCTTCACTGATTATATGATTCTATACCTAGAAAATGCTAGAGTCTGCCAAAAGGCTCCTAGAGCTGATAAACTATTTTAGTCAGGTTTCAGAATACAAAATTCAATGTACAAAAATCAGTGGCATTTCTGTACACCAATATCCAGGCTGAGAATCAAATCAAGAACATAATCCCATTTATAACAGTGACAAAGCAAATGAAATTCTGGAATTATATTTCACCAAGGAGGTGAAAGATCTCTACAAGGAGAACTATAAAACACTGCTAAAAGAAATCAGAGATGGCATAAATAAATGAAAAAACATTCCATGCTCATGGAATAAATATGTAAGAATACATATCATTAAAATGGCCTTACCGCCCAAAGCAATCTATGGATTCAAAAGCATTCCTATCAAACTCTGAACATCAATTTTCACAGAATTAGAAAAAAAACTATTTCAAAATTCATGTGGAATCAAAAAAGACCCCAAATAGCAAAAGCAACCCTAAGCAAAAAGAGAAAAAGCTGGAGGCATCACACTACCCGATTTCAAACTATACCGTAAGATTATAGTAACCAAAATAGCATGGGACTGTGTGCAAAAACAGACACATACGCCAGTAGAACAAAATAGAAAACTCAGACATAAACCCATGCATCTATAACCATCTGATCTTTGAAAAGGCCAACAAAAACAATGCAGAAATGGCGCCCTATTCAACAAATGGTGCTGGGATAACTGGCTAGCCATATCCAGAAAAATAAAACTAGACCTTTGCCTTTGGCTATATATAAAAATTAACTCAAAGTGAATTAAAAGTTTAAATATAAGACCTCAAAGTATAAAAGCCCTAGAACAAAACCCAGGAAATACCCTTCTAGATATTGGCTGTGGCAAAGAATTTTTGGCTGAGTCCCCAAAAGCAATTGCAACCAAAACTAAAATTGACAAGTGGTATCTAATTAAACTAGAATAGTTCGGCAAAGCAAAATAATCTATCAACAGAGTAAGGGGACAGATAAGCTATTCAATGGGAGAAAATTTTCACAAACTCTGTATCCGACAAAGGGCTAATATCCAGAATCTATAAGGAACTTAAACAAATTAAGAAGCAAAAAATAAAAACCCATTAAAAATAGGCAAAAGACATGAACAGATACTTCTTAAGGGAAGACACACAAGTGTCCAACAAACATATGAAAAACATGGTCCACATCAATAATCATTGGAGAAATGCAAATCAAAACCACAATGACATAATATCTTATACCAGTTAGAAGGGCTATTATATTAAAAAGTTAAAAAAACAACAGATGCTAACATGGCTGTGGAGAAAAAGGAATGCTTATACACTTTTGGTGGGAATGTAAATGAGTTCAGTGATTGTGGGAAGCAATTTGGATATTTCTCAAAGAAATTAAATCAGTGCTACCATTTAACACAGCGATCCCATTACTGAGTATATACCCAAAGGAAAATAGATCATTTTACTAAAAGGACACAAGCACTCGTATGTTCATTGCCACACGATTCACAATGCAAAGACATGGAGCCTACCTAGGTGCCCATAATGATAGATTGCATAAAGAAAATGTGGCACATATACGCCAGGGAATACTACACAGCCATAAAAAAAATGAAATCATGTCCTTCGCAGCAGCATAGATGGGGCTGAAGGCCATAATTCTAAGTGAATTAAAGCATGAGCAGAAAACCAAATACTACATGTTCTTCCTTACAAGTGGGAGGTAAACACTGAGCACACATGGACATAAACATAGGAACAATAGACATTGCAGATTACTAAAGGAGGGAGGGAGATGGGGAGATGGGTACAAAAACTACCTATTGGGTACTATGCTCATTACCTGGGTGCCAAATACCTGTTTAACAAACCTGCACACGTAGCCTCTGTATCTAAAATAAAAGTTGAAATTAAAACTTATAAAAATTTTAAAAACACAAAAACAACATCACATATAATTTCTTTTCAGTCAAGTTCCGCATTTGTTAATGTCTGTTTTTCTTTCGGTGCCTCTCGAATTCATCCCATGATCTGTATTTCAGTAGATCCCAGTCCACTGACTCTTTATGCAGATAATTTTACCTCGAAAGTATGGCTTTTGTTCTTTCTCTGGATACAGTTTTCACTATCTTCTATTACTTAAAAAAAAATGTAGTTAATGTCTTTCTTTTCTTGTTTCTTTTTACTTTGTATGTTTTTTATGGAACCAAGATTCACGGAATTGACTACATCATAATCATTTGTTCCTGATACACCGTTATTTTTCTGTAAGTGTTTCTATTTTCTTCAACATTTTATTGTATTCATTTATATGTTTATGTAAAAATTTGGTTACTCAGTGTCTCCTATGTGTCAGTCTGTTAAGCTCATTATTAACAAGGACTAATATTGCATCTTCAAGGTTAACAGTCCTTGAGCCTGGGATGTTAGACCAGTAATTCCCATTGAGAGAAACCTGGTTGGGGGTGGGGGAGAAGTATGCTGAGTAAAGAAAATAGAGTCAGGAAAGGAGGCATGACATATACATAGAAAATGGGTAGTTTGTTTTGACTAAAGCATAAAATGGGTTAAGGGAAGTAGGAAGAGGTCAGATTGTTAATGGCTTTGAATTCCAATCCGAAGAGTTCATAGTTTATTACATGGGAAGAACTTTCATGCAAATAAGTAACTTTCGTCACTTTTGAAATTTAGAAGAGTCTCATATCTGAAGCCACACTATGGTAGATGTATATGTGAGAGAGAAAAAAATAGGGATGGAGAGCCTGGAAGTGGTAAGATCTTAGCTGTTCAGAATTTTAAACACACATCTTTTTATGTTAGCTTATGTTAAGGTTTATCCCATTGCCTATAGAATACTTTTTTATCACAGTTATCCCAACACCTTCTTTTTTGATCTTTGTAAGTTCACAGATATTTACTTAGGTAAGAATAAACTTATTCCCCAGTGTTTGCTGATTATAAACATGTATCCAGAACGGCAAGAACACACTGCATCTACATAAATCTGCTGCAGCATCAACAAGCTATTGGTATTCAGAATACTCACTTTGCTAGAACATTTAAAATGAAGTTATTTGTCTGTTGCTGCTTTTAAATGCTTTAGTTATCCTAATATGGTTAATAGTTTGAATATGAAAATGCCTGGAGAGCACTGGCAAGGATTGGTAAATATAACATGCTTCCCTACCATGATTTATGGGAGTCAGGGCAAGTTTTTTTGTTTATTATCAGAAAATAATGGATGTTATCCAAAAATGGATGATATCAAGTAGCATCTGAAGACTATTATTTTGGTAAATCCAGCATGGAAAGGTAGTTATCAATCTTTTTATTAATACAATTCTTTTTTGTAAAACAGAAATGTATTTATATAGGAACATCACAATTGTACACCAAAATGTATACAATTATTATTTGTCCATTAAAAATAAATACATACTTTTTTGAAAGTTTAATGTTGGATCCTGGCAACTTAAGAAGCTTTCATATTTCTCACTCTTAAATGTTCATTTCTCTCTTGTATTCTCTTCATTACTTAGAGAATATAACTAAATTAAGGAAGAAGAATGTTATATTAGTCATGATGGGGTAGGTCATGCTGTGGTAAGAAACAACTCAAAGGTCTAGGTGACTTAAACAAAAGTTTATTGCTTCTGATACACAGATATCTTGACTTTATTGTGTGTTCAGCTTCCCATCATCCTCACTTGGGAATCCTGGTTGATGGACTCTTCCTTGTTTGAAACATCGCTTCTTATTCTGGCCAGCAGGAAGGGAACATGGTGATTTGTTCATGATATCTTTAAACAGGTGTTGGCACCTATGGCCTGTGGACGAAATCGAGTTCACCATCTGCTTTGTTAAAACACAGCCACACTCATTCACTTATGTCTTGTCTGTGGCTGTATTTTAACTGGAAGGGCGGAATGGAATTTTTGTGAGAGAGACTATATGTGGCTCAGAAAGCCCTTAAATACTTATTGTCTGGCCTGTCACAGAAAAATAAGTTTGCTAATCCCTTTCTTAAATGGTTCTTTCTAGAAGTAAACACACCATATTTAATCACATTTCCACATTCCACTGGCCAAATTAAGTCATGTGGCCAGAGCTCACTTCAATGAGGAAAGGAAGAACAATCATATTATGTGCCCTGCACAATGTGGACAGAACTTCTGACTACTGTACGTACTTGCTTTCTATATTTCATTTTCTCATTTTCTACCCTTCACACACACTCTCACCTTATTTAACTGGCAGTTAGTTCTTGTGTTCCCCTACTTTAGAATTTATTATACAGCATTGCAGTGATCTATTTGCTTTCCTGTATTCATTCACTGTATCACACTATAAACTCCATGAAGGCAGGACTCCTGTTTGCCTCATTTACCTCCTGCCTTATTTCTCAGCACCTATAGAAGAGCATTGCATTAGGCCCTCTATCAGAGCACCTTATTCCATTTCTTCAGTTTTACTACAATTATTATCAATGTAATAGTTTTGTGTTTAGTATGTGAGAGGAAAATAAATTTTGGGATCCCCAAATCACTAAGCCAAAGGGAAAGTCGAGCTGGAAACTGTGTCAGGCAAACCTGCCTCCCACCTTATTCCTAAATAAGATAGCTACAAAGATAAAAAAGCTACGTACCTTCCTCACAATTTGCCCACAAGGAAATTCCTTGTGGTCCTCAAGACCTTTACACTAAAACAGTTCTGTTTAATTTCACATTGGCAATGTAAATTAATAGCCTATCTTTACAGGTGTGGGACGAAGGACAGAACTCATAACCATCCCTCTGCTCACCTGAGACAAATGCATATCTGCATACTTCCTCTGCCCTATTGTTTATGTAAAAATGCAGATTCATTGAGCCAGACTAAGGTGTGAGTGACTGTTCCTCTATCCCTGACTCACAAGCAAGTTGGGTATTTAGTGAAAAGCTGATCAAAGACCCAAAAGAATGCCACCTTTTGTCTCTTATCTACCTATGACCTGGAACCCCTCCCCCTACTTCCTGGATAGGATGTCCTGCCTATCCAGACCGAACCAATGTACGCATTCCACATGTTGATGGATGTCTCATGTCTCCCTAAAGTGTATAAAACCAAGCTGTACCCCAGCCACCTTGGGCACGTGTCATCAGGACCTCCTGAGGCTGTGTCATGACACATCCTTGACCTTGGCAAAATAAACATTCTGAATTGATTGAGACCTGTCTCAGATACTTCTGGGTTCATGAGTAATTGATATTTGTACCCCCCACTAAACTCTAAGCTTTCTGTGGACGGGAACCATATTTATCTTGCTTGCTATGCATACCCAGTACCCTGCCTAGTGTCTGCATATAATAGGCACTAGACATTTTTTAAATGAATGAGTGAATCACACTATAAATGAATATCCTATGCTGCTTTTGATTTAAAGACATGATCTTTTCATGAACTACTGAGGCAGGAGAATAGGGCCTGGAGGCAGGGAACCTAAAGACTTCCTAGAACTCAATCAAATGGAAAAACCCTAACTTTCTAAGACCCAGTAAATAACTTTGTAACTCTACTTCAGGTATGATAGGAAACATCCTCTTCATTTGTGGGGGGTGTACACCAAGTAAATAACTTTGAACTTTACTTTATCCTTGATATGGTTTGGCTCTGTGTTCCCACCCAAATCTCATCTTGTAGCTCCCGTAATCTCCGCATGTTGTCAGAGGGACCTGGTGGGAAATGACTGAATCATGGTGGTGGGTCTTCCCCATGCTCTTCTTGTGATAGTGAATGGGTCTCACGAGATCTGATGGTTTCGAAAACAGGCGTTTCTCTCTGCACAAGCTCTCTCTTTGCCTGCCGCTATCCACGTCAGATGTGACTTGCTCCTCTTTGTCTTCCACCATGATTGTGAGGCCTCCTCAGCCATGTGGAACTAAGTCCAATAAACTCTTTCTTTTGTAAATTGCCCAGTCTTGGGTATATTTTTATCAGTTGCGTGAAAATTGACTAATACAATCCTCTTAATTTGCATAGGGTGTACACCAAGTAAATAACTTTGTAACTTCACTTCAGCCCCTTCCTTTACATAGGACATATGCCGTGTAAATGAATGGGAAACATCTAGAGGATATTTAAACCCTAGAAAATTCTGTAACTGGGCCCTTGAGCTGCCTGCTTGGGCCGTCTCCCACCCTGTGGAGTGTGCTTCTGTTTTCAATAAATCTCTGCTTTTGTTGCTTCATTCTTTCCTTGCTTTGTGTGTTTTGTCCAATTCTTTCTTCAAAATGCCAAGGACCTGGACACCCTCCACCAGTAACACTATGAGGCCCTGTGTCATGTTGTCCCTACCTACTTCTCAAGATCTGTTCAGCACCATACCCTCCATTTCCAGCCTACTTTTACTTTCCTGCCAAATGGTCTTTACAAATGATTTCCCTTTTGCTTAGAATGCCACCACTTCAGATAGATAACGTCTACCTATCCTTCTTTTCTCAGTTCTTGTATCATTTCCTCATGGGACGCAGTCATTGCTAATTAGGCCAAGTGTCCCTAAGGGCTTCCACAACATAATATATTTCTTGTATATGAGAACTTATCACAATTGCATATTTTTTTCACATTTTTTTCACATATTTTTTCACATAATTTTTCACATAATTATTCCTTTTTTGGTTAATGCGTGTGTTCCTCTACTAAACTGTACTGTGCCTCATTTTGCTAATAATTGCATCTATAGTGTCTAGCATAGAATTTTGCACATATAACTTTTTCAATACCTTTTCTTAAATAAGTACATGTATACAAATTTATAAAAGAGCCTTACATGATTTGAAAAACAGGAAGTTTTCATATTTCCCTCAGTGGAATAGTTGTGAGGATTATGAACAATCTATGTTAGATGCCTGGCCCATGTTATGCATTCAGTTAATGATAGCTGCTTTACTATTATTGTTTTTCATTGTTCCTTTTACATATTTGTTCAATAATATTAGTTGGATATGAAACTCTGTAAAGTACAAATGAAGAGGAGGAGGAGGAGGAGGAGGGGGAGGAGGAACAGAAGAGGGGAGAGGAGGAAGAAGAAACAGTAAAATTTTCTGCAAAATAAAGCAAAGAAAGCCTGGTCCTGATCACTCACAGAACACACCAGAACCTTCCAGTTCAGCTGAAGGGCATAGTTAGCTGTATTTTGCTCTCTTCAGACTTAGACAGGATAAACCTAAGAGACTTACCTATAGAATGAGGTATATTTGTAATAAAATCTATTCTGTCTATTCATTGGGTGCCATTGATGGAAGAAATTAAAAATTTTCTTGTAAATAGGCACGTGGGGAAAATGTGTCATATTTGGGAGCAGTGGGTTTAAATCGCAAATGTATGAGTTTCTGTTCTTGCTTTCACTCCAGTACTGATTAAGCTGTGTGACAGACTGCTGATTGCCAACTCAGGACCATTTCCCCTACTCCCTTGCTAGTAGAAGTCTGGCTTTGTTAGGACAGCACCTTTTCTCTTTCCCCAAATTGCCTTACTGGTTTGATCATTTTCCTGTGATGATGTGATATTTGGAGATAAAACAGCTATGTTGTGATCATTAGGTGACAAGCTTGAGGACAAAAAGTATGTGAGGAACATGACAGAATCATGGAAATAATACGGGTTCCTAATGACATGATTGAACTGCCAAACTAACCCTGGAATCACCAACCCTCAGACCTCTTGGTGAGAAAATTAAATGCTTCCCATGTATACGCTTTCTTAAATTCGGTGTTTTGTTCATTGTAGCCCCTCAAATATAAATTTACAAATCCTGCTCTTGGCACATGTAAGTATTAGGCATTTTCTCTTTCAGGTCTTCTGTTGGTAACAAAGACATAATAATAGTATCTTCTTCTGAAGATTAATTTGTATAATGTCTTTGTAGAGGAATGGCTCCACCATAGCATGCTAGTGACCTTGCATTCTTCTACATAGCTCACGTAGGCAAAGCCAACTGCAGTTTAACCTGAGCCTTGGCAGAACACTCTGTAATCCTCCCAGGAACATGGAGAGATGGGCAGTCTTGTGAACGCATCCTAAGTTCATTTCTCATCCTCCTCGGTTCTTGTGGGAGTCTGCAATAAGATAGCTTGTCATCTATCTCTCTGGTTCCAATGAGGCATGGGACTTTCCACCTTGCCCTGCCTTCTTAGGGCACAGCTGCAAACTTCTGTGTAAGTTTAGAGAACTGTTTGCTTCCTTAGTGATAGAGTGAACCACCCCTTGGGTCCCTCTGGCCCTTCAGGTTCAGTGTCATCTCCTGGGTACAGGAATGTAATGCACTGAATCTATTTAGGCTTGTTGTCTTCTTACTGTTCGGATCTATGGAAGTGTGGCAAGCCAACTAGCATTAGCATGATGCTGCTGTTTATGGATGCTTGCCGGGCACAGAGTAAGAACTCAGTAAGTGTTAGCTAGGTGTAGAGCAGTACTACTAATATTATTACAGCTATGTTACTGAAACTGTTTCTCATCTGTAAATGAGGATCACATGGAAAGTGTTTTAAGCTCTTAAGTGCCATCTACGTATAAGATAGTAATATTTAATTAACTCTTTTCTTAGGTCACTAGAGGCATAGTTTTTTTTCAGTTTGATTTGTGACTTAAGGAAATGCTATCTAATTTAAATATTAAACACTATCTGATTTTATCGCTGAAGAGAACTTCATACCATTCCATAAAGCCCCACGTCATGTGCCTTATGATTGTAGTCACATTGAAAGCTTTTATCATAACTATTGACCTTTCTTCTGACATCAGCAATACATGGGTGTTCTGGTTTGTTGAAATTGACTCAAGTTAAAAAAAGATCCTATATGAGAAAGCAGTTGATCCTTCTAACTTGCGTTTCTAGTTCTGACACTGAATCCAAGTTTCAGGAAAAAAAAATATTGTAGACTGTCTGCACCAAGGCTATGTACAGAGCAGAAATTGAAAAATTCTTTCAAAGTAAGTGATTACTATGACAAAACTACCATGGAACATCTTTTAGATGAAAGTTCAGTGTTCTTTGAAACAAAACCTTCATTTGAAAGATGATATTACCTATCAGAATATTGGGTTAAAAGCCTTTACTTTTTTCTTATTTGAATGAAGAATCTATAATTCTACTTTAAAGAACAATATCTGCTTTTTCTAATATTCAGAATGATAGCTTTTATTTACTTTTTTGGCATATTTATAATTTTATTTAAAGTGGAAAGCTAACCTTGTAGGCAAGAATGAAGAGAGCAATGGATAAAAATAGAATAACAGGTGGCTGCTTTTTTGTACACTGCTCTGTGTTTTCTGGGAAATTTGTGTTATTCAGTTATTTCAGCAATGTGTTATCTTTATCAAATGTATTTTACTTGGAGACAAATGTTTATATCTTTAAGGATGTTTCTTTTCTTTGATTAAAAAGTCCCTTTCAGTCCAAGAGTGAAAAAAAAAATATTCTTATCACTAGGAATTTGATGTTCTGCAAAGAATACAGTTTTGTCAGCAATAAAATGGTGTATTTCATGTAAGTGTATGCTTTTGCAGCTCACAAAGCAAGCACAATGGTTTTTGTCAGTGAGACCAAGGTGAGTGCTGTTCATAAACTTTTAATTCACTAATTCATTCACTATTATTTTTACACCACTACGTGACTAACATTAGCAATTAGTCCAAATTTAATATTAACGGTGGGGAGAGGTATGAATACCGACAATAAAGCACCTGCTATGAAGTTAGAATCATACCTTTTTATGTTTGTGTGATTATTATTTGAGTTTTCTCTATTTATTCGTTAACGTGGAGTATAATATTAGCAGATTTTCTAATGTTACAACTATCCTTGTACTCTCTGGACATGTACAGCATGTGTGTGTGTGTATATATAATTCATTTAGAATTTTAAAGTTAATTTTCATTTAATATGTTTAATACGTTATGTTTAGGTAAGAATTTTGCTTCTATGTTTGAAATATTTACCTGGCATCCTGTGATTTTTTCTTCTGCTGTCTTGTTAGGTTTTGGTATTAAGTTTATGTTACCCTCATTAAATTGTTCCCTGTTTTTGAATTCTCCATAAAAGAAGTTATATAATATGGGAATCAAATGTTCTTTGAATATATGTAGTTTACACCTGTATAACTATCCAAGTCTGTGTGAGTGTGTATGTGAAAGAAACACAAATAAAAAAAAGAGAATATAATTTTTCAGGACTGATTCAATTTAATGCTTATAGGTATATTTAAGTTTCTGTCTTTTCTTGTCAGTGTTGGATTATATTGTTAAGGAGATGGCGTATTTATATAAGGTTTAGACAGTTATAGGCCTACAGTTGATTACAATATCTGATCATTATTTTTTCAATAACTGCTGTATTTGTAGTCACGTCTCCTTTACATGTTTAATACTGTTTTGTTATTGATGGCAGAGATTTTTCTATTTCATTAGTCTTTCCAAAATTTTGTTGTTCACTTTGTTGATCCTATTTTATCATTTTTTTCTATTTCATTATTTCTGTCCTCTTTGTTCCACTCCATTCTTTTGGGGATTATTTGATTGATATTTAATAAATCTTAAGTTAGAGAAAAGTCTTGTGAGTCTTCAGCATTTCTTTCCTTACACATAATTAGTTAAGTTAATGTTTTCTCCTGGATATTTGCTTTAGCTTCATTGCATTCCACAAGTTTTGAAATGTAATATTTTCATTTGATGTGTAGTATTTTTATTAAGCTCTAATGATTATCTGATTTCCATTTTAATTTTTTTTGCACAGGAGGCATTTAGAAGCATATTTAAAAATTACCTAATGTCTTGAGTGTTTTATTAAGCCTTTTTTGTTGATCTTTAACCAGATTGCATTTTGATAAAGGAATGTGGTCTGTGTAATGATCCTTGAAAATTTGTTGGGACTTACTTTATTCCCTCTTGCCTGGTCAATTATTATATATGCTCCATATGTACAAGAGAACAAGGTATTTTGTCTAATACAATTGGGGCACAGTTTTACATATGTTCCTTAGTTTAACCTTTTCAACTCTTATTTCAAAACTGCACTCTTAATAACTGCCAGACAATATCTAGTGTTGGTGCAAATTTGCACTGATGGGGATTCTCATATATGGCCCATGTGATTGTATAAACTGGTAAATCCATCTTGAAAAACAGTTATGCCATTTGACCCAGCCATCCCATTACTGGGTGTATACCCAAAGGATTATAAATCATGCTGCTATAAAGACACATGCACACGTATGTTTATAGCGGCACTATTCACAATAGCAAAGACTTGGAACCAACCTAAATGTCCAACAGCGATAGACTGGATTAGGAAAATGTGGCACATATACACCATGGAATACTATGCAGCCATAAAAAATGATGAGTTCATGTCCTTTGTAGGGACATGGATGAAGCTGGAAACCATCATTCTCAGCAAACTATCGCAAGGACAAAAAACCAAACACTGCATGTTCTCACTCATAGGTGGGAATTGAACAATGAGAACACATGGACACAGGAAGGGGAACATCACACACTGGGGCCTGTTGTGGGGTGGGGGGAGGGGGGAGGGATAGCATTAGGAGATATACCTAATGCTAAATGACGAGTTAATGGGTGCAGCACACCAACATGGCACATGTATACATATGTAACAAACCTGCACATTGTGCACATGTACCCTAAAACTTAAAGTATAATAATAATAAAATTTAAAAAAAAGAAAAACAGTTTATGTATTATTCAGTAAAGTTGAAAAGATACATATATATATATATATAGTTTAGAAATTTCACTCTGGAGAAATTTCACTATACATAAATATGTAATATGTGCATTTATGGGTGCATGTGAGTTTTGTTGCATGCATGGAATGTGTAATGATCAAGCCAGGGCATTTAGGGTATCCATCACCTTGCGTGTTTATCATTTTTATATGTTCGTATCATTTCAAGTTCTTCCTTCTAGTTACTTTGAAATATACATAATACTGTGGATCAGGTAGTGCATGGTATGCAGTGTGAGCTCTCTTCCTGGAGCAATGCCTTTTTGTGGTCTCCAGACAGCTTCTTATGTTAGTCTTGGGACTCCTATGGGTCTAGGACCTTTCCTGTGGCTAGAATGCGGGAGTCTGCAGTGGGAATGCAGGCCACTGGAAGTCACTCACTTACCTTTTCCTCACCATGAGGAGCCTCTCCAGGCTCCCAGCTGATTCCAGCCAAAAAGGCTGTCTCACTTCCCCACTTTCCTTTTCTTCCTTGTTTTAGGTGCTCCCTGTCATTTCTCTGTTGAATTCCAGTGTTCACTCTTAGATGATCTATTTAAAGTGTGATTATCTACTCACTATTTTGGTTCTTCTTTGTGGAGGAGGGAAGCACCCGATGCCTCTATTCAGCCATCTTGAAGCACCTCCAATTTGGATAATTCTTAAAAAAAAAAAAAAAATTGAAAGACAGAAACTAGATGCAATACAAACATAGAATGTGATTAGGTTTATAAAAGATAGTACATGCCAAACTAAACTGTTGTTTATAGAAATATATTTATGTTAAAAAGCTAAATAAAGGCAACAACTAGGTTTTTATAAGCATTAACATAGTTGTTAGTAAAGAGAAGTTTGGAGAAATTTGAAAGGATTGTGATTTTTAAGAAATAGATGGAGTCTTCTGGGATACTGGTTAAGGTTCTATGTATTGATTTGGGTGGTGATTACACTGATGTTTATACCATTTGCTTAATATTACATAGTATGCATCATTAGTATTTTGTTATATGTCACAGTAAAATAAAGTTAAATATATAATGAGACAGAGAATGAGATGTATGACAAAATTAAAGCAGTATGTGAGTAACATGAAGGACTGTGTATGTACATGTATACTGTGTGACACAGAGTGGTCAACCCAAGTGTCTATTGATTGGTGAATAGAAAAACAAAATGCAGTATACACCTACAATGGGATATTATTGAGCATTAAAAAGGAAGGAAATTTTTACACATGCCACAACACGCATTAATCTTGACTATATTAGCCAGTCACAGGAATAAAAACATTATATGATTCCACTACGAAGTACCTACAGTAGTGAAATTCATAGAGTAAGAAAGTAGAAGAATGGGGGCAAGGGGCTAGAGGGAGGGGGCTATAGGGGATTTAGTGTTTAATGGGTACAGAACTTTTTTTGGAAGATAAAATTGTTCTGGAGATGGATGGTGGCAACAGTTGCACAGTAATGTGTATGTATTTAATGCCAAGAAAACGTAGACTTAAAATGTTCTTTTCTTTTCTTTTTTTTTGAGACAGAGTCTTGCTCTGTTGCCCAGGCTGGAGAACAGTGGCGTGATCTCAGCTCACTACAACCTCTGTCTCCCAGGTGCAAGCAATTCTCATGCCTCAGCCTCCCAAGTAGCCAGGACTACAGGCATGGGCCACCATGGCCAGCTAATTTTTGTATTTTCAGTATTTTTAGTGAGTCGCCATGCCCGGCTCACTTAAAATGTTTTAAATTATAAATTTTATGTTAGGTATATTTTACCACAATAAAAATAAGCAAATAAACAAAAAAGGCGAGTATTTATCAGAGACCTGTAGAAAGTGAAGGATGGAACCAAGTGGATAGGTATGGAAAGAACATTTCAGGCAGAGAGAACTGTGAAGGTAAATACTGAGGAGAAGATGAGTGTGTTTGGCATATCCAAGAATAGATAGCAAATATACCACTAGAGCTGGAAAAGAGTAAGGAAAGGATAAAATGATATGAGATTAGGTCAGAGGGCTAACAAGGTGCAAGGACAAGTAGGGCCTTGATGGTCCTTGTAGATGGGAAGACATTGAAGGGTATCAAGTAAGGAATTGGTGTGACTTGACTTACTTTTTAGAAAGATTACCCTGGATGCATGTTGAGGAAATACTACAGCAGGAAAGGCAGAAGCAGAAAGACCAGTGGTGATGGTCTTTTTTTTTTTTGTTGTTGGTGGTAGGTTGTTTTTTGTTTTGTATTGTAGAAGATTATTATAGTGTTTTTATGTTGGTGAGGATGAGTGACATTCTGTATACTTTATAATCCATCTTCAGAAATCTTCAATTTTAGTTCACCTGTCCATTGAAACTTGGCCCTTTATTTTCAAAGATGTATAAGATGTATTTTCCTTCCTGTGTTATTCCTTTTTAATTTCTTCAAATAATTTAATTATACTACTTTTTTGTTTGTTTTCTGACTCTTGTTCACAGTGGCTTTGTTATAAATATGCTTTGTAAATATGAGTTGTGATCTTATATTTAGCAGGGAGTTATAGCAACACCAAGAGCACTGGCTTGAAGATGTTTTCATTCATGGAGAATTTGCATTTGCTTCTACTCACTACTCTAGGATCAAAAACAATCAATCTAGACTCCTTAAGTTGATTATTAGCTTGGAGTCCCCAAAACTGCAGGAATTTCCCATTTAAGTATTGTAAACAAATATAAAAGTTTCCCTTATTGTATTTTTCCCTGCATATTTTGTTTGCCATATTGATTTTTATATAAATTTAAAGGAGGTACAACTGCAGTTTTGTTACATGGATACATTGCATATTCCTAAAGACTGGGCAATTAGTGTAAACATCACCCAAGTAGTATACATTGTACCCATTAAGTAATATCTCATGCGTCATTCCCTCCTACCCTCCTACTTCTCTGAGTCTCCAATGACTATTATTCAACTCTGTAGGCCCATGTGTACACATTATTTAGCCCACAGTTATAAATGAGAACATATGGTAACTGACTTTCTGAGTTGTTTCACTTCAGATAATGGCCTCCACTTCCATTCATGTTGCTGCAAAAGACAGCATTTCCTTCATTTTTATGGCTGAATAGGACTCAATTGTGTATATATACCATATTTTCTTAATCCAATTATCTGTTGATGGACACTTAAGTTGACTCCATGTCTTTGCTATTATGAATAGTACTGCTAAAAACATGAGAGCAGATATCTTTTTGATTTATTAATTTTTATTCCTTTGGGTACATATCCAATAGTGGGATTGCTAGATCAAATGGTAGTGCTATTTTTAGTTCTTTGAGACATCTTTATGCTGTTTTACATAGAGGTTGTACTAATACATTCCCAGTAACAGTTTGTATTTGTTTTCACACTGCTAATGAAGACATATCCGAGACTGGGTCATTTGTAAAGAATGAAAGGTTTAATGGACTCACAGTTCCACATGGCTGGGGAGGCCTCACAATCATGGCGGAAGGGAAAGGAGAAGCAAAGCCACATCTTACATGGTAGCAGAGAAGAGATAAAATGAGAACCAAGCGAAAAGGGAAACCCCTTATAAAACCATCAGATCTTGTGAGACTTATTCACTACCATGAGAACAGTATGGGGAAAACCACCCCCGTGATTCAATTACCTCCCACCCAGTCCCTCCTACAGCATGTAGGAATTATGGGATCTACAATTCAAGATGAGATTTGGGTGGGGGCACAACCAGACTATATCACAGTTTATAATCATTCCCTTTTTCTCTGCATCCTCACCAACATCTGTTATTTTTTGTCTTTTTAATATTATCTATTCTGACTGGTATAAGGTGGTATCTCATTGTGGCTTTAATTTGTATTTCACTAATCATCACTGGCGTGCATTTTCTCACATGCTTTTTGGGTGTTTGTATATCTTCTTTTGAAAAAGTGTCCATTCATGTCCTTTTACCCACTTTTTAATGGAACTATTGGGTTTTTCTGTTGAGTTGTTTGATTTCCCTGTAAATTGTGTATATCAATACCCAGTCAGATGCATAGTTTGCAGATATTTTTCTCATTCTGCCAGCTGTCTGTTTACTCTGTTGATTTTTTTTGCTTTGCAGAAAATTTTTAGTTTAAGTACTATTTGTCCATTGTTATTTTTGTTCCTTGTGCTTTTGAGGTCTTAGTTATTAATTATTTACCCATACCAATGTCTGGAAGAGCTTTCTCTACATTTTCTTCTAGTATTTTTATAGTTTCTTATCTTACATTTAAGTCTTTGGATCCATCTTGAGTAGATTTTTGTATGTAGTGGGAGAGAGGAGTCCAGCTCCATTCCTGTACATATGGCTATCCAATTTTCCTAGAACCTTTTATTCAAAAGGGTATCCTTTCCCTAGTGTATTTTTTTTTTGTCAACTTTGGCAAAGATCATGTGATTGTAGATATGTGGCTTTGTTTTTTTTCTTCTCTACTCTCGTCCATTGATCTATATGACTGTTTTTATCCAAGTACCATGTTCTTTTGGTTACCATAGCTTTGTAATATAATTTGAAATCAGGTAATGTGATGCCACCAGCTTTGTTCTTTATGCTTAGAATCACTTTGGCTGTTCAGGCTCTTTTACACAATTTCATACTAATTTTAGGATTTTTTTTTTCTAATCTTGTGAAAAATAATGTTGGTATATTAACAGGGATTACAAAGAATCTCTTTGTTGCTTTGGACAATATGATCATTTTAACAGTTTTAATTCTTCCAATCCATACATATGAAACATTTTTTCATTTGTTTTATCTATAATTTTTTTCATCAATTTTGTGTAGTTTTCTTGTAGAGATCTTTCATTATCTTGATTAAATATATTTCTAGGTCTTTTTCATTGCTATTATAAATCACATTACCTTCTTGATTTGCTTCTAAGCCTGATAGCTATTAGTGTATAGAAATGCCAAAGATTTTTGTACATTAATTTTGTATTCTGAAAGTTGACTGAATTCAATTTTTAAAATTTTATTTTAAGTTCCGGAGTACATATGCAGGATGTGCCAGTTTGTTACGTAGTTACATGTGTGCCATGGTGGTTTGCTGCACCTATCAACCCATCACCTAGGCGTTAAGCCCGGCATGCATTAGCTAGTTTTCCTGATGCTCTCCCCCACCTTACCCTCCCCCGACCAGCCCTAGTGTGTGTTGTTCCCCTTCCTGTGTCCACATGTTCTCATTGTTGAGCTCCCATTTGTAAGTGAGGACATGTGGTGTTTGATTTTCTGTTCCTGCATTAGTTTGCTGAGGATAATGGCTTCCAGCTCCATCCATGTCCCTCCAAAGGACATAATCTCATTCCTTTTTATGGCTGCATAGTATTCCATGATATATATGTAGCACATTTTCTTTATCCAGTCTACCATTGATGAACATTTGGATTGATTCCATGTCTTTGCTATTGTGAATAGTGCTGCAATGAACATACCCATGCATGCATCTTTATAATAGAATGAGTTATATTCCTTTGGGTATATACCCAGTCATAGGATTGCTGGGTCAAATGGTATTTCCAGTTCTAAGTCTTTGAGGAATTGCTACACTGTTTCCACAGTGGTTGAATTAATTTACATTCCACCAACAGTGTAAAGGCACTCCTATTTATCTGCAACCTCTCTATCATCTGTTGTATCTTGACTTTTTAATCATCACTATTCTGACTGGTGTGAGATGGTATCTCATTGTGGTTTTGATGTGTATTTCTTTGATGAACAGTAATGTTGAGCTTTTTTCATATTTGTTGGCTGCATGTATGTCTTCTTTTAAAAAGTGTCTGTTCACATTCTTTGCCCACTTTTTGATGGGTTGTTTTTTTCTTGTAAATTTGCTTAAGTTCCTTGTAGATTCTGGATGTTAGACCTTTGTCAGATGGATAGATCGCAAAAATTTTCTCCCATTCTGTAGGTTGCATGTTCACTCTCATGATAGTTTCTTTTGCTGTACAGAAGATCTTTAGTTTAATTAGATCCCATTTATCAATTTTTGCTTTTGTTACAATTGCTTTCGGCGATTTCATCATAAAATCTTTGCACATGCCTATGTCCTGAATGGTATTGCCTAGATGTTCTTCTAGGGTTTTTGTAGTTTTGGGTTTTACACTTAAGTCCTTAATCCATCTTGGGTTAATTTTTGTAAAAGGAAGGGGTCTAGTTTTAATTTTCTGCATATGGCTAGCCAGTTCTCCCAGCACCATTTGTTAAATAGGGAATCCTTTCCACATTGCTTGTTTTTGTCAGGTTTGCCGAAGATCAGATGGTTGTAGATGTGCGGTTTTATTTCTGAGTTCTCTATTCTGTTCCATTGGTCTATGTGCCTGTTTTTGTACCATTACCGTGCTGTTTTGGTCACTGTAGACTTGTAGTATAGTTTGAAGTTGGGTAGTGTGATGCCTCCAGCTTTGTCCTTTTTGCTTAGGATTCTCCTGGCTATACAAGCTCTTTTTTTGTTCCATACGTATTTTAAAACAGTTATTTTCTGATTCTGTGAAGAATGTCAATGGTAGTTTAATGGGAATAGCATTGAATCTATACATAGCTTTGGGCAGTATTGGCCATTTTTACAATATTTATTCTTCCTATCCATGAGCATGAAATTTTTTTTTTCTTCTGTCCATCCTCTCTGATTTCCTCGAGCAGTAGTTTGTAGCTCTCTTTGAACAGATCCTTCACTTCCCTAATGAGCTGTATTCCTAGGTATTTTATTCTGTTTGTAGCAATTGTGTATGAGAGTTAATTCATGATTTGGCTCTCTGCTTGTCTGTTGTTGGTGTATAGGAATGCTTGCAATTTTTGCACATTGATTTTGGATCCTTAGACTCTGCCGAAGTTGCTTATCAGCTTGAAAAGCTTTGGGGCTGAGTCGATGGGGATTTCTAGATATAGGATCATGTTATCTGCAAACAAAGACAAGTTGACTTCCTCTCTTCATATTTGAATATGCTTTATTTCTTTCTCTTGCCTGATTGTCCTTACTAGAACTTCCAATACATTGTTGAATAAGAGCGGTGAGAGAGGGCATCCTAGTCTTGTGCCAGTTTTCCAAGAAGAATGCTTCCAGCTTTTGCCCATTCAATATGATATTGGCTGTCAGTTTGTCATAAATGGCTCTTATTATTTTGAGCTATGTTCCTTCAATACCTAGTTTGTTGAGAGTTTTTAACATGAGGAAATGTTGAATTTTATTGAAGGCCTTTTCTGCATCTATTGAGATAATCATGTGGCTTTTGTCTTTAGTTCGGTTTAGGTGATGAATCATGTTTATTGATATGCATATGTTGAACCAGCCTTGCATCTCCAGGATGAAGCTGACTTGATCATGGTGGATAAGTTTTTTGATGTGCTACTGAATTCAGTTTGCCAGTTTTTTATTGAGGATTTTTGCATCGATGTTCATCAGGGATATTGACCTGAAGTTTTCTTTTTTTGTTGCATCTCTGCCAGATTTTGGTATCAGGCTGATACTGGCCTTATAATATGAGTTAGGGAGGAGTCCCTCCTTTTCAATTGTTGGAATAGTTTCAGAAGAAATGGTACCAGCTCCTCTTTGTACCTCTGGTAGAATTCAGCTGTAAATGCATCTGGTCCTGGGCTTTTTTTGGTTGGTAGGCTATTTATTATTGCCTCAATTTCAGAACTTGTTATTGTTCTATTCAAGAATTCAACTTCTTTCTGGCTCAGTCTTGGGAGGGTGTATATGTCCAGGAATTTATCAATTTTTTTCTATATTTGCTTGTTTGTGTGCATAGAGGTGTTTATAATATTCTCTGATAGTTGCTTGTATTTCTGCGAGGTCAGTGGTGGTATCCCCCTTATCATTTCTTATTGTGTTTTTTTTTTTTAACCTTCTCTCTTTTCTTCTTTATTAGTCTAGCTAGTAGTCTATCTATTTTACTGATTTTTTTCAAAAAAAAAAAAAAAAACCAGCTCCTAGATTTGTTGTTTTTTTGAAGGGTTTTTCATGTCTCTATATTCTTCAGTTCCACTCCGAGCTTGGTTATTTCTTGTCTTCTGATAGCTCTGCAGTTTGTTTGCTTTTAGTTCTCTAGTTCTTTTAGTTGTGATGTTAAGATGTCAATTTGAGATCTTTCCAGCTTTCTGATGTGGGCATTTAGTGGTATACATTTTCCTCTTAACACTATTTTAGCTGCATCCCAGAAATTCTGATATGTTGTCGCTTTGTTCTCATTAGTTTCAAAGAACTTCTTGATTTCTGCCTTAATTTCATTATTTACCCAGAAGTCATTCAGGAGCAGGTTGTTCAATTTCCATGCAGTTGTGTGGTTTTGAGTGAGTTTCTTAATATTGAGTTCTAATTTCATTGTGCTGTGATCTGAGAGACTGTTTATTATAATTTCAGTTCTTTTTGCATTTGTTGAGGCATGTTTTAAGACAAGTGATGATTATGCCTGCAGAGTTAATGAAGGCAATACTAGGCAGAACTCTGAAACAGGCTCAACATTACAGCAGCAGGGCATGGATGGGAGAGAAGAATGTTGGATAGTTTGTGGGATCCAGATCCCAGTCTGTTAGTGCACTAGAGTGAACACTCAAAATGGGTCTCCAACACTACCTTTAACATTTTCTTGACCTAGACAACATTTGATGCTGTCCTCATTGGTTTTTGTCATAGGCAGTCATTCTCAATTAGAAAATGGAAACACCATCCCAACTAACTAAAAGCTTCCAAAGCAACGAAGAAATCGCACATTTTATTCACTTTGAGGTCATAGCCTATATATCACCTCTGTGGAGTGGACTCTTTGACCTTTTGACTAACTATCAAGAGTCAGTGAAGAAGGTTAGATAAATATATCAAGAACCCTAGTTCAGACCGGAAAACTGTGAGGTTTCACTTTTGCCTGTCATATGCCACATATCACAGCCTCATATGCCACTACTCTTCCACTTGTACTTGTTCATTGTGATGAGCCTTTCTGACTCCTTTCAGTTTCTTAAGTGTACCAAGTTGTTTCCCAGCTCAGGACTTTCCCATGCTATTCTATCTGACTGAAGCACTCTTTCTTTCATTTTTGTTTTCCAAACACTTAATCATCATATAAGTCTCAACCTCAATGTCATTTATTCACTAAGGAATAACCTGACTACCTAATATCAAGTGTGCTCCCCAATTCCATGATTCTCTGTCAGAGCACCCTGTCTCATTCATTCACAACATGTCTAGCAGTTCATAATGATCTGTTTGTGTAGATATGTGTTAAATGACTATCTCCTCTACTAGACTCTAAGCTTCATGAGGGCAGTGGTAATAACTATTTTATAATTCTGTTTCTAACACACACAGTACCTGGTAGGTGCTGAATAAATATTTGTTTTTTTGTTTTGTTGTTTCATTTTGTTTTGTTTTGTTTGAGATGCAGTTTCACTCTTGTTACCCAGGCTGGAGTGCAGAGGCACGATCTTTGCTCACAGCAACCTCCACCTCCTGGATTCAAGCAATTCTCCTGCCTCAGCCTACCAAGTAGCTGGGATTACAGGTGCCCGCCACCATGCCTGGCTAATTTTTTGTGTTTTTAGTAGAGATGGGGTTTCACCATGTTGGCCAGGCTGGTCTCGAACTCCTGACATCAGGTGATCCACCCACCTCGGCCTCCCAAAGTGCTGGGATTACAGGCGTGAGCCACTGTGCCCGGCAAATATTTGTTAAATGAGGGAACTTTAAATTCAGTTCAGTGATAAAGCTCATTGATGTTTATTTGGCTCCAACTGTTGCGCCTCTCCTACTTCCAAAAGAAAAGAGGCCCTCAGATTTGGAAAAATAAAATTATAATATAATAAATTAAAATGTATCCTTTTCCTTTCACCTAGATCCAATATATTGGAGAAAGTGCTCATAAAATCTGATACAGAATCTATCTCAAGAAATATTTCCCACCCCTTAAATTTGTCCCCTTAATTGAGGAGTTGACTTCATGGTGAATTACTCCAAATAGGTAAGTGTCTGAAAGTTCTAATGCTATTTAAACTGTCCTAAAGCATTAAAAGTGGAAGGAGAGCTGCCAATTTCTTTAGTAATTGTCAAAATGCTGAGAATGTCCCCAAAAAAAGCTAACAAAAAGAAAATCCCAGAAGATATTAATGTATAAATCCTAAATAAAGTATTTGTAGCACAATCCAATGTCATTAAAAGATTAATATACCAAAACTAGGATTATTCAATTCTGAGAAAGCGTTAACATATTTATGTAATTTATACTAATAGGTCAGTTCACATTTTTTTTCATTGGTTGTGACATAGAAATAGATGGACACTCCCTAATATGCTGAATTGTGCAATGTGAAATACTGGAAATGTTCTCACTAAAATCAGAAATGAGACAATAATGACAGCTATCATGTTTTTGAAATAGCAAATAGATAAGAGAATAAAATAAATAGACATATTAAAAAAGAGAGTAGAAAATAATCATCATATACACATGATAGAAATATATACCATGTAGGCTGGGTGTGGTGGCTCACGCCTGTAATCCCAGCACTTTGGGAAGTCAAGGCGGGCAGATCACCTGAGGTTGGGAGTTTGAGACCAGCCTGACCAACATGGAGAAACCCTGTCTCTACTAAAAATACAAAATTAGCCAGGCGTGGTGGCGCATGCCTGTAATCCCAGCTACTCGGGAGGCTGAGGCAGAAGAATCACTTGAACCCGGGTGGCGAAGGTTGCGGTGAGCTGAGATGTGTGCCATTGCACTCCAGCCTGGGCAACAAGAGCAAAAACTCCGTCTCAAAAAAAAAAAAAAAAAGAAATACATATCATGTATATATAAAAATCCAAAATAGAAACCAACTGGAAAACTGCCAGAGAAAGAGAATTTTGTATGTTGATTGATTACAAAGTTAGTATATAAAAATCTATGGTTTTCCTACCTATAAATGGTAAGTATTTAGAAAATACAATGGATCAAAAAATGCTCTTTCCCATAGCAGCAAAATGATAAAAAGGAATAAGCCCACAAATAGACACAGTGTACAGAAACTATGCAGAAAATGCAAGTAGCAACATATTTTCTAATAAGAAAATGACAAAAATTAAACAGTATCATTTGGAAATTTTGAAATGCTTTTTATGTAATTCCTAGAATAAAGGAGTAACCCAAACTTTATTCTTTGACATCATAAGATATCACAAGAATTAATTACACTGCAGTTTAAAACATAAACCATTTGATACATTCTGTAGTTAGAGAAAAATCAATAGCTTTAAATATTCTTATTTTAATACAAGAAGACTTGAAAATAAACATCCAATTCAGGAAGCTAGGAAAAAATAAATTTAAGGATAGCAGGAAGTAAGATTTGAAAAAAGATACCAGAGCAATACATTAAATTGAATGCTCAATAGAATAAAACTGTGGGATCAGTAAATGGTAGGATTTAAGTTTTGCAAGGAGCAATAAAAACAAGTTAATGAATAAGTTTAAGCACTAACAGTGAAAGAATAGAGATATATAAGTATTTTTAAAGTTTCATTTTGTAGCCATAAATAAAATACAATAATAATTATACATTAATTATTCATCACTTTTTAAAGTGACACAATGGAAATTGGACATATAGAATGTAACTGGTATTTGCTTACATGAAAATATCTTGATTTAAGGATAGAGAAAAAGTAGTGTTTGCCTTTCTGTGACTGGCTTATTTCACATCACATTATATATATATATATATATATATATATATATATATATATATATATATATATATATATATTATATATATAATATATATGTGTGTGTGTATATATATATTATATATATATGTGTGTGTGTGTGTATATATATATATATATCCCATTTTCTTTATTCATGTATGCTGTTTACATATTTTGGCTCTTTTGAAAAATGCTAATGCTGCAATGAATACAAGAGAGCAGATATCTCTTTAAGATTCTGATTTCAAATATTTTGGGTATATACTCATAAATGAAATCGCTATGTCATTTGTGATATGGTTTGGTTGTGTCCTCACCCAAATCTCATCTTGAATTCCCACGTGTTGTGGGAGGGACCCAGTGGGAGGTAATTGAATCATGGGGGCAGGTGTTTCCCCTGCTGTTCTCATGATAGTAAATAAGTCTCACAAGATCTGATGGTTTTGAAAATGGGAGTCTCCCTGCACAAGCTCTCTTCTCTTGTCTACCACCATATGAGCCATGCCTTTCACCTTTCACCTTCTACCATGATAGTGAAGGCTTCCCAGCCATGGTGGAACTGTAAGTCCATTAAATCTCTTTCTTTTGTAAATTGCCCAGTCTCAGGTATGTCTTTATCAGCAGCATGAAAATGGACTAATATAATATGATAATTCTATTTTAATTTTTTGAGGAACCTCCACACTGTGCTCTGTAGAGGACTGATAATTCATTGTGCTCTGGCTCACCCCTTAATTCTTTCTTTTCTCAAACTCCCCCTCTTCCTCCACACAGACATAAAGGCCATTTGTGGTATTAATAAATGAAAGAATTGAACTGTTTGTTGTCACAGTCATCCATACCATATTGACATATCCATTCAAATATATAGATAATCTTACTTTAAATAATGTCTCATTTGTTGGAAAAATTCATAAACATATGATACAGAGACTATGTGGTAGCCAGAATAATGGCTTCCCAAAGATGTCTACACCGTAATACCTAGAACCTATAAATATGTTAATCTATGTAGCAAAAGGGACTTCATAGATGTAATTAAGTTTACAAACATTAAAAGAGAAAGGTTAGATAATCCTATTGGGTCTACGAACTTTCTCCCAATAGTGGCAGAAGAGATGAGGCTAAAGAAGTCACAGAGATTCTAAGAATGAGAAGGACTTAATCCACTTTAAAGATAGTGGAAGGGGGCCACAGCCAAGATGTATGGTTGACCTTTTGAAGCTGAAAGCCACTCCCAGCCAGGAGACAGCACTGAATTGGTGATTCAGTTCTATAAGCACAAATAACTAAATTCTGCCAACAGCCTCAAGGAATTTGGAAGCAGAATTTTCCCCATAGCCTCAAGTAATGAACAGGGTTCTGTTGACATCTTAATTTTTTTTTTTTTTTAAGACAGAGTCTCACTCTGTCCCCCAGGCTGGAGTGCAGTGGTGCCATCCTGGCTTACTGCAACCTCTGCCTTCTCAGTTCAGTTGATTCTCATGCCTCAGCCTCCTGAGTAGCTGGGATTACAGGTGCGTGCCACCACACTCGGCTAATTTTTTGTATTTTTAGTACAGACGGGGTTTCACCATGTTGGCCAGGCCAGGCTGGTCTCAAACTCCTGGCCTCAAGTGATCTGCTCACCTCGGCCTCCCAAAGCGCTGGGATTGCAGGTGTGAGCCACCATGACTGGCTGACATTTTGATTTTAGCACAGCGAGATTCCTGTCAAACTTCTGTCCTACAGAATTGTGATTGTAATAGCTGGATGTTATTTCTTTTTTTTTTTTAATTTAAGTTTTAGGGTACATGTGCACAATGTGCAGGTTTGTTACATATGTATACATGTGCCATGTTGGTGTGCTGCACCCATTAACTCATCATTTACATTAAGTATACCTCCTAATGCTATCCCTCCCCCCTCCCCCCACCCCACAACAGGCCCCGGTGTGTGATGTTCCCCTTCCTGTGTCCAAGTGTTCTCATTGTTCAATTCCCACCTATGAGTGAGAACATGCGGTGTTTGGTTTTTTGTCCTAGTTTGCTGAGAATGATGGTTTCCAGCTTCATCCATTTGTTATAGCAATAGAAAACTAATCTACACTGCATCCTATTACACTTCTATGAATAACAACCACAAAAAAAAAATTGAACCTATTTCTGCACTAAATAAGGAATGCAGAACTTTGCTCTTTCTTCTTTTCCCAGAGTGGTTTGTGATGTTCATATGCTCGCAATTGCACCAGCAGAAAAGCCAGGAAGTGGGAGCCGGCTCTCAGCACAAGGGTGGAGGTGGTAGAGGCATTTTAGAGTTTACTAACACCTCATTTATAAAATGTACTCAGAATAATAGTATATCTAGTGATGTTCTTGCCCCTGAGCCAGATATTTAGAACATCTAATGTTAGTTCTGTAATTAAGAGGCCCTTTTTTTTTTTTTTTTTTTTTTTTTTTTTTTTTTTTTTTTTGAGATGGAGTTTCACTCTTGTTGCCCAGGCTGGAGTGCAATGGCATTATCTCGGCTCACTGCAACCTCCACCTCCCGGGCTCAAGCAATTCTCCTGCCTCAGCCTCCCAAGCAGCTGGGATGACAGGCACACACCACCAGACACAGCTATTTTTTTTTTTGTATATTTAGTAGAGATGCGGTTTCACCATGTTGACCAGGCTGGTCTCAAAGTCCTGACCTCAGGTGATCCACCCACCTCGGCCTCCCGACGTGCTGGGATTACAGGCATGAGCCACCGCACCCAGCCGAAATGCCGTTATCTTGAGTCATTGGATTAATTGACAATTTGCTACAATTTACAGTTAGTAACAAGTTTATATTTGATATCCTTTTGGTTCTCATAATAACTTTGGGAGATAGGTCAGACATATAGTAACCCCCTTTTAGAGATAAAGTAACGTGCAGATAGTTTAAAAGTTTTAATTTTTATCCTTATTTATTTTTATTTATTTATTTATTTATTTATTTATTATTATTATTATTTTTTGAGACGGAGTCTCACTCTGTCACCCAGGCTGGGGTGCAATGGCACCCTGTCGGCTCACTGCAACCTCTGTCTCCTGGATCCAAGCAATTCTCCTGCCTCAGCCTCCCGAGTAGTTGGGATTACAGGCAACCACCACCATTCCTGGCTACTTTTTATATTTTTAGTAGAGATGGGGTTTCACCATGTTGGCCGGGCTGGTCTCCAACTCCTGACCTCAGGTGATCCGCCTGCCTTGGCCTCCCAAAGTGCTGGGATTACAGGCATGAGCCACCATTCCTGGCCAATTTTTATTTATTTTATTATTTTTATTTTCATTTTATTTTTTCTATATATATATATATATATATATTTTTTTTTTTTTTTTTTTTTTTGAGATGGAATCTCGCTCTGTCGCCCAGGCTGGAGTGCAGTGGTGTGATCTCGGCTCACTGCAACCTCTGCCTTCTGGGTTCAAGCGATTCTCCTGCCTCAGCCTCCTGAGTAACTGGGATTACAGGCATGCGCCACCATGCCCGGCTAATTTTGTATTTTTTTTTATTACTATTATACTTTAAGTTTAGGGTACATGTGCACAACGTGCAGGTTTGTTACATGTGTATACATGTGCCATGTTGGTGTGCTGCACCCATTATATTTTTATTTTTTATGACACAATAGTTGTACACATTTATGGGGCACGTGTTTTTTTGATATATGCATGCAGTCTGTAATGTTTTGTAGCTGGTCACATAAATAGTGTCAGAGCAAGGATTTAAACTGCCTTCTGACTCTATTCAATAAGACTTTATTTCCCTTAGAAAAGATTTGACAAGCACTGAAAAAGGCTGCTTGAATTTCTCAGTAATCTAGCTTGAAGCTGTTCTCTTTTTCCCCTCCTTTTCATTTTTGTACTTTATCCATTATTCTTTTATCAATCCATTTAATGGCAAGTTTAATCCCTTCCCAAATGCATAGCTCCACATTTTCTGAAGGAGAAACAATTGAAATTCCGAAGGAATTAAAGTATTATTTTCCAAATTTTCTAAAAATAAAAATAAAAATGTATTAAATTTTTTGTCACTCAGGCCGGGCATGGTGGCTCATGCCTGTAATCCCAGCGTTTTGGGAGCCAAGGCAGGCAGATCACTTGAAGTCAGGAGTTCAAGACCAGCCTGACTAACATGGTGAAACCCCGTCTCAACTAAAAACAGAAAAATTAGCCAGGCATGGTGGCGGGTGCCTGTAATCCCAGCTACTTGGGAGGCTGAGGCTGGAGAATCACTTGAACACAGGAGGCAGATGCTGCAGTGAGCTGAGATCACGCCACTGCACTCCTGCCTGGGCAGCAGAGCAAGACTCCGTCTCAAAAATAAAACACTGTTAAATAGTTTTACAAAGTGATTTTGATCAGCAACGTGTGAGAGTTCCTATTTCTCCACTTTCAGCAAAGCTTGCTATTGTCAGTTTTCAATTGTAGCCATTGTGAAGTGATATATTACTGTGGTTTACTTTGTATTTCCCTGAAAACTAATAATGTTTAGCATCTTTTCATGTGTTTATTGGTCATTTGTATATCTTCTTTTGTGAAGCATCTGTTCAAATCTTTTGCCTGTTTTTATTCAGTTGCTTGTTTTTCCTTTATTGAGTCGTAAAAATCTGCATTATATTTCTGATGTTTGCTTCAGGATTTAGGCTGAGACTTTTACGGGTGGTTCAGGTATAATTTCAGTTCTCTTTGCTTTTGCGTCATTGCTTTGGATTTATATTACATGTACATAATTTAGGGTTAATCATGACACTTATGTGATTTCACGCACACAATAAGGGTTCCCATTATTCTGGCTCTCTCTCCCGTACGTCTCCTTTATGGCCCCGCTGTGTTGGGGCTTCTGTTCCTGGTTTCTTTAAAAAGTTCTTTTAGTTTGGAGTATCAGTTCCCAGCCCTGAATTACCCCATGAATGAGGTCCACATTTGACACAATTTCCAGATAAAGAGAGATGTAAATAATATTTAGGTAATAAAATCAAATGTCGAATGCCTGTTTCTAAAGTCATATATCTTATTGGTAAACTTTGCTGAAATAGAAAACACTGGAAGATTTCCAGTTCTAAAGGGAGGCAGATCAAGAGTTCTATTGTCTGTATTTTAAATATAGAATGTGTATGAGACATGTGGCCGGGCGTGGTGGCTCACGCTTGTAATCCCAGCACTTTGGGAGGCCGAGGCGGGTGGATCACTTGAGGTCAGGAGTTCGAGATCAGCCTGACCAACATAGTGAAACCCCGTCTGTACTAAAAATGCAAAACATTAGCCGGGTATGGCGGTGCACGCCTGTAGTCCCAGCTACTCAGGAGGCTGAGGCATGAGAATCACTTGAACCTGGGAGGTGGAGGTTGCAGGGAACTGAGATCACACCACTGCACAATGTAGCTGGCAATGTGCCAAGTGCCGAGTGTCTCAAAAACAAAAAAAGAATGTCTATGAGACATTTATGGTGGAAAAACATTTTGAAGCCTCACCACAAGTTTTCTTTTTTTAACATTTATTTTAAGTTCAGGGGTACATGGGCAGGTTAGTTCCACAGGTAAACTTGTGTCATAAGGGATCTTTTGCCCCAAGGGTTGCAGATATCCATGGGAGAAGCGTGGGTTCCCAGGGTCGCACATTCATTCACCACTTCCCTGGGCGGGGGAAGTTCCTTGGCTCCACGTGATTCCTGGGTGGACCATCGTCCTGTCTTGCTTTTCTCTGTTCTCTGTGGGTCTAGTTGATTTTTGATTGGTCCCAATGCGAGTACCTCGATGTTTCAGTTGAAGGTGCTGTATTTAATTGCGCCTTCTGTTCCTCTCTTTTTGAGCCACAGACACTAGCTGCTATCTTGGCCGCTTCCCTCCAGAAGTTTTCTTTACCTATTGTCCACCTACAACCCCGTAACCTCATAATTCTGGTTTCCTGCACTCATAATGTGGGTGGAGCTGAAGAAATAACGTTTTATTATGTGCACACTAAAGTCTGAGTGGTAAGATTATGTTTTGTTGTGAAAATAAATGAGCTTGGATTGTATTTTTATATTGCATGAGATCTACTCTAAATTTTTGCAATATTGAGCAAGATTTTTACTTTAATAATTACCTTGTAGACTTGTGTGGCAAGTTGTGAATTATGAGACTGCTCAGGATATTAGACCCACCTGCCAGTTATGTGAGGCAGTGGTTTATTCAATGATTTCCCTGTCTATTTGGATACTAATGTGTTTTAATCTGTAAGACTATACCAGCTGGTTCTGACTAGGAATTATTACATCAAACTCTTTGTGTATAAATGTTATTATATTAATTTTAGTTGTGTTTATTAGCATTTCATATTTTGTTTGTGAATATGTTCTGCAGGATCACTGATATTTCAAACATTTCAAATATAAATTGAACAACTTATTAATTTAAAATATGACACTTTGGGGAAATTTGCTTCTTTTTATCTCTGAGGACTGAGGCAAATAGTGACTTCTATGTTGAACTATTAATCATTCATTCCATGAAATTTTACTGAGCAAATATTAGAGTCATGTGTTTAAAAAAATTAGAACAGATATAGATTATATCCTCAAGGAAATTATTGTCCATCCCCCACCACACAGCAGCCTTTAAGCTCCAGGAGAACAGGAACTGTGTTATGTTCACCATCTCCAGCACTTGGCACTTTGCCAGGTACATTGTGAATGATAAATCCATGTTGCATAAATATATGAACAGTAGTGAAAATAATATAGAGGTATGTAGACTAGTGATTATTTCTTGAATAATGTGGTCTGTGACTTAACATAGGCACATATAATTACCAATGAAGGCTTAGAGAGGCTAAAAATTATTTCACAATAGTAGAGTCAAAACATATTTCCTGAAGAGATAACATATAACCTTGAACTTGAAGGAAAAGGGACATCTTCTCATCCATTTATTCACTCTTCCTTAAGGAAGGTGGGTGACTTATTAATGGATTTTGGAATAAGAACAGGGTGTGTATAGATTTTTCCCTCTCTTCTTACTCTTCTTCGGAGCCAGGGTGATTATAGAGAAGGCAGTTTGCCCCATTTTCTTCCATGACATACATTTTTCATTATACCTCTTATAGGAAGAAGCCTATAATTGTCAGTGCTACCTGGGACTAGTTAAATAAGTCTGCCTAATTCCAGAGTAGAGTATTAGAAAGCTCATTGTTGTCAAACATTTCAGCCACATTCTCCAATATTATTATTATCAGTAATAAGGGTTTTTTGTTGCCTATCTTTTGACTCCTTAGTTTGTTTCAATTATTGGTTGAGTAATTGCATGTGAAAAGAAGTAGTGCTATATCCTGGCACCCTATGACACCAACCATTGCTATTTATTAGACATCTATTATATGTGAGATATTGTGCTACATGATTAATTTATAGTCTTGCTCAGTCTTCACACCAATGCTAGAGAGGGGTACCAATAATAATTTTCATTTTACATGTGAAGATATCGAAGCCAGGTGTGGTGTCTTTTGCCTATAATCCCAGCAGTTTGAGAAGCCAAGGCGAGAAGACTGCATGAGGTCAGGAGTTCAAGGCCAACCTGAGCAACAGGTTGACAGAGAGACTCTGTCTCTACAAAAAATGAAAGAAAATTTAAAACAATTAACCAGGCATAGCAGCTTGAATCTGTAGTCCCATCTACTTGGGGGGTTGAGGCAAGAGAATTGCCTTAGCTCAGGAGGTCAAGGCTGCAATGAGCCATGATTGCACATGCTTCTGCACTCCAGCCTGAGCAACAGAGTGAGACCATGTCTCAAACAGAAAACAAAAGGAAAGAAGGAAAGAAAGAGAGAAAGAGAGAAAGAGAAAGGGAGGGAGGAAAGGAAGGAGAGAGGGAAGGAGGAAGGAAGGAAGAAAAGAAAGGAAAGAGAAGGAGAGAAGGAGAGAAAAAGAAAAAGAAAAAAGAAAGTGGGGGGAAGGAAACGAGGGAGGGAGGAAGGCAAGGGAAGGAAGGAAGGAGAAAAAGAGAAAGAGATGAACGAAAAGAAAAGGAAAGAAAGAGAGAGTAATAGAGTTTATGGGAGAAAGGCCACTTGTGCAAGGTTACACATCTATGTAAGTAATAAAGCTGGGTCTCAAACCTAAATCTGCCTGGCTCCATTATATCATTCAGAACAGGAGTAGAGGTGAATGGCACAGGTAGTCACAAGCAAAGAGTCAGGAAAATGGACAGGGGATAGAATGTACACTAAGCCTTTCAATTTTGTTGGTGCACAGTATTGGAAAAGGTAGTCTGTGGACATATGGTTTAGTTCTCAGTGTAATATACATATATAGTTCACCATAAAAGGATAAACTTACAAAACGAAAAATGAAAATGATTGGTGCTATACATAGAATGGTTTGACAGAGTTACTACTATTTGGTGAGGGGCGGGTTAAATGTCATAGGGAGTAATCATAGTGTAAGTTATTTCAGGATAGAGACTGATTATTCAATTTATCATTACAGTTGGAAAATGTTAAATGTTATCTTTGCTGATAAAGGAACAGAGGTCTGTGAAATCTCTTCCACTGCAGCAGTACAAAAGAGAAGGTGATATATAGTAAGGCATCTCTGGACAATTAGAGGTAAGCTTCTGAAAATATTTTACAGAATTGGAAAATAATTCATTTGTACATTGGGATGATAGTGAGGAATTGTCTATAATTTTGAAATGAATTTTCCTCTAGGAGTTAAACTAGTCAAATTTCATGTGATAGGAAAATGAAAATTTGTTTTTTTGGATTACTCAGTGAGAGTGACATATCAAAAGACAATAAACTTAAATATGATAAAATGCAGAGGAATTAAACCAGGACGAGCAAGGAAACATTTTCCTATGCCTGTTCTGGCTAAGGATTTTGTCCACACTGAGGAATGGAGAACTTGGTGTTGAAAAACAGAAATTATACCTTCATCCTGATCACCTTTATTCTCATGATTGGGTGTGGATTCAGTTATTTTCAATTAATCTTTAATGTCTTAATGAATACAACAATAGAAAACAAATAACAACAAGAACAATAAACTGCTAATACTACTCGAGGAGGGAAAACTGAATTGGATGAATCTAGAAAACACTTGGACTTATTATCTTTCTACCAAGCATGGACAAGCCAGGTGAGCTGAACTACTCCAGAGTGGCAATATAATAGGACTTCTTCATGTCAACTTAGCACAGAATGTTTTGATTTTACAGAAAATCATCGTCACTATAATGATAACTTACTAAGTAAAACTTGAGTATTTTTAAATCATTATATGCATTATCTCATTTTATAATGAAGATTGCTTGTTCTTAACTATTTTAATTTGGTAAATAACATGGACAGTAATGCAATTTATACAGAAGAGTTTCAATTTTAGTATAATAATAATTGATGTTAGTGAAAATTCAGGTTATTTCCACTCTAAAAGTGGGTCAAAAAGAGACATTGTGCCCTTCTAGAGGAGTGTGAACACACTTAATCCTCTTTTTTTATTCATTCGTTGAGTAAAATAAATACAAAATACATCCAATTACAGTACAATGGGATTAAATCCAGAAAGTTGCCGTGGTGCAGGATTTCAAATATCAATCCTTTTAACTTTCAGTTTTCAAAACCATAATCCACATTACCTGAAAGAACTGTGAGCAGTATTATTTGGTCAAATGTATTATGAAGGGATTGAATTTTTATGGGTATATTATATTCATAAAATTCTTACGTTTAAATCCAGTACTGAAAAAAATGTTACATCATTCTTAAGAAAAAAACATATGTACTAAAATAATAATTGGAAATGTGTAAAATGACAAATGAAAATGCAGCCGAGAGTTCGAGACCCTATTACATTTCTACAGTTTCCATTGACCTTAACATGGAGGCCACTGGTAAATTCAGCAAGAGCTGTTTTAGTGGAGCGATTGGGCAGAAACCATACTGAGTGGGTTTAGGAATGAAGGAAAAGTCAAGAAGAAGCCGCAGCCGTTGTAAACAGATTTTGAAAAGTTGTCAACAAAAGAGAAGAGAGAGAGGACACTAGCTAGACACAGCAAGGCAGTAAGGGAAGTTTATCTAAATTTTTACTTTTAATTCATCAAAGAGCGAAGTACGTTTCAATGTATACGAGAAGATGAAGGTAAAGAGGGAAGGGGTGATTTTGCAGGGTGTTTTGTAAGGAGGTTACATTGAATGGGGTACAGAGAATAAGCATGGGAGTGAATCTTGGGCAAGAAAAGTGACAGTATGGGTGCAGTCAGTTAGCATGTGGAGGGGTAAAAGTTGAAAGTGCTTCATTTGATGACTTCTGTTTTTCAGGTGGGATGGGAGGTGTAAAGATATGTTAAAGTTCTAATATTCAGAAGAACTGAAAAAGAGAGATCAAGAGCTCAGTTAAGGTAACATAAGAAACATTAGTAGAGATCACTGAAGATCAAGTTTTTGATAGAGAACGTGTATTTGTAGCAGGAACAATTTGTGAGGTTGTGTGATTTTCTTCAGCCTTGGCACAGAAAGTTTTGACAGCTGAATTAATAAAAGGTTGTAACATTGCTATAAGGGTGAAAAAAAGAATAGGACAAAGGAATTAAAGGATAATATTAATATTAAAAGTGTGTATTATGAGACTTTGTTCAGTAGATTTTATATTTAGGCTACAATTTGAGTATAACATTCTTGAATCACTTTTTCTTTCCCTAGAACTTTGTAGCTATTGCTTATATTCTGTCATTGTGTGATGTAGTGGAAAATTTTGGAAACTGCATGCTTTCTCTGTTTTCTAACTTTTTAGTGGTTGCTATAAGATTTTAAAATATGCATCTTTACAGACTACCTTAAATAATACACCGTTTCACATATAATGTAAGACCCTTACAATTCTATCCTCCTATGTTCTGATTCTGTTTCTTTGTGCGACTCTTTTCATCTGGTTTACTTCAATATGTTTTGTAAACCTCAATATAAACATTTTTATTTATACTGTGAATTATTATTTTTTGCTTGTGATCAGGTTTATGAAGGTAAAATTTGCATCCAGGAAAATTCACCTTTTTAAAGTATGTGGTTCAATAAATCTTCAAAATTAATACAGTCATTTAAGCATCACCAAAATCAAAATACAGGACATTTCCATTACACCGAAAACTTTCCATTTTTCCTTTACAGAGAATTCCCTCCTTCCATGTCCAGACACAAATCTAATTTCCATCCCTATTAATATTCATTATCCAGAATGTCATATAAATGGAATAATAGTGTCTTGCATCTACCTTCTTTAGTAATATTCCATTATAAAGACAAATCACAATGTGTTTTTCCATTCACCACTTGATACACATTTTTTACGGTTTGTGGTCATTACAGATAACTGTAATAACATGCACGTATATGACTTTATGTGAACATACGTTTTAATTTCAGTTGACTAAATACCTACAATTATAATTGGAAGATCATGTGGCGAATGTATTTTTAGCTTTATAAAAATATACCAAACCATTTTCCAAAAATGCTGTGCCATGTTTGCACTCCTACATTCTACTTGCTATGCATTCTCACCAAAACTTGATACTGGCAGTCTTTTCAATTTATTAATTTCCATAGGTGTGTAGGGGTATCTCACTGTGATTTTAATTTGCTTTTTCCTAAAAATAAACTATTCTGAGAAGTGGTTCACATGCTTATTTGTCACCTCTAGACCTTCTTTGGTAAAGTGTTCAAATCTATTGTCCACTTCCATTTATTGCTTTTAAAATTAACAGCCTTATTAAGATGTAATTTATGTGACAAAGAAGTAACCAGCTTAAAGTTGGTTGTTAATATGTTCACAAAGGTATGCAAACATCACCACTAATTTCAGAACATTTTCATCACCTCAAAAAGAAACCCCCAAAAAGAAACTTCATACCCATTATTAATCACTCCCCATTCTAAACTCCTCCAGCCTCCATTATTTACTAATTTACTTTCTGTGTATATATACTTATCTATCTTCAATATATCATATAAATAAAATAAAAAAATTCTTTTTTGTGACTAGCTTTTTTCACTTGGCATGGGGTTCATTCATGTTGTGATATGAATCTGTACTTCATTCCTTTTGATGGCTGCATAATATTCCATTGTATGAATATACCACATCTTACTAATACATTCATTGGTTGATGGAAATGTGAATTCTTTCCACTTTTGGGCTAATATCGTTAGTACTTTTATGAACATTCAAATAAAACTTTTTGTTTAGACACATTTTCAAATATCTTGGTTATATGCCTTGGAGTAGAATTGCTGGGCCATGTAGTACAAGGCTTTTGCAAAAGTAATTGTAGTTTTTGCCATTAAAAGTAATGGCAAAAGTGGTTGTTAATATGTTAACACAGAGGTATACAACCTTTAAACCTTTTTGCCATTATAAGTAATGGCAAAAACTGCAACCACTTTTCCACCAGCCTAATACTTCTATATACAACATTTTGAAGAACTGCAAAACCGCGTTCCATACTGATCACGGCTCAATCTTGGCTCACTGCAACCTCCGCCTCCCAGGTTCAAGAGATACTTTTTTTGTTTGTTTGTTTCAAATGAAGTCTGGCTCTTGTACCCCAGGCTGGAGTGCAGTGGCGTAACCTTGGCTCACTGCAACCTCCGCCTCCTGAGTTCAAGCGATTCTCTTGCCTCAGCCTCCCCAGCAGCTGGGATTACAGGCGTTTGCCACCATGCCCGGCTAATTTTTGTATTTTTAGTAGAGATGGGGTTTTACCATGTTGGCCAGGCTGGTCTCAAACTCCTGACCTCAGGTGATTCGCCCACCTCAGCCTCCCAAAGTGCTGGGATTACAGGCATGAGCGACCGTGCCTGGCCAGGTTCAAGAGATTCTTGCGCCTCAGCCTCCTGAGTAGCTGGGATTATGGGCACATGCCACCATGCCTAGCAAATTTTTGTATTTTTTAGTAGAGACAGGTTTTCACCATGTTGGCCAGGCTGGTCTCAAACTCCTGGCCTCAAGTGATCCACCCACTCTGGCCTCCCAAAGTGCTGGGATTACAGGTGTGAACCACTGCGCCTGGCCTGTTATTGGTTTTTATCAGTTTGACTGGGATGTGCCTAGTTGTGGATTTCTTTGGGTTTATTCTACTTAGACATATTTTAGCTTCTTTAATTTGCAGATGCTTCCTATATTATTTATTAATTTTCTCTCTTTCTCGTCTCCTCTTCTGACACTCCCAGTACACATATATGTGTATGATTGATGGTGTCTCAGAGCTTTCTGAGACTATGTTATGCTTTCACCAGATTTTTTTCTGTTTCTTAGACTGGCTAATTGCAATTGATCCATCTTCAAGGTCACTGATTTATTATTTTGCCAGTTCAAATTTACTGTTGTGCCCATCTAGTATATTTTTATTTTAGGTATTGTAGTTATGAAGCCCATAATTTCTATATTTGTAAAAATAATTGTTATCTTTTTATAGTCTCTCTTTGGTGACACATTGATTGTATACTTCAATTATTTATCCCTGGTTTTATTTAATTACATTATATAATAGGTGATTTTAAGTCTGTCTAGTAGGTTTAATGTCTTGGCTTTCTCTGGGAAAGTTTCTATTCACTGATTTTGTTTTCATATCTATGGGCTGTATTTTCTTTTTTTCTTTTTTTTTTTTTTTTTTGAGACGGAGTCTCGCTCTGTTGCCCCAGGCTGGAGTGCAGTGGCGCGATCTCGGCTCACTGCAAGCTCCGCCTCCCGGGTTCACGCCATTCTCCAGCCTCAGCCTCCTGAGTAGCTGGGACTACAGGCGCCCGCCACCGCGCCCGGCTAATTTTTTTTTTTTTTTGTATTTTTAGTAGAGACGAGGTTTCACCGTGGTCTTGATCTCCCGACCTCGTGATCCGCCCACCTCAGCCTCCCAAAGTGCTGGGATTACAGGCGTTACCACCGCGCCCGGCCGCCTGTATTTTCTTTTTCTTCGTGAGTCTCATGATTTTTGTTTAAAACATAGACATTTAAATATTATAATATGTGAAAACGAAATCGTATTTTCCCTCTTTTGTTTTTGTTTGTTATTATTTATTGTTTTTGTTGTTGCTGTTTGTTTAGTGACTGCCCTTGACTAATTTTATAAAATCAGTATGCTTTGTCATATCCAGGCACTGAAGTCTCTGCTTGAATTGTTAGTGGTCAGCTAATGATTGTGCAGAAAATTTATTTATTTATTTATTTTGAGACAGGGTCTCCCTCTGTTGCCCAGGCTAGAGTACAGTGTGCGATCTCGGATCACTGCCACCTCCACTTCCTGGGCTCAAGCGATCCTCTCACCTCAGCCTCCCAAGTACCTGGGACTACAGGTACAAGCCACCATGCCTGGCTAATTTTTTTTTTTTTTTTTTTTTCGTAGAGATGGGGTTTTGCCATGCTGCCCAGCCTGATCTCGAACTCCTGAGCTCAAGCAATCCGCCCACCTCATCCTCCCAAAGTGCTGGGATTACAGGCATGAGCCAATGATTGGGCAAAAATTTTAAATGGCATGAACCAATAATTTTCACTGCCCCTTCCTTGGGGGTCACTATGGGTACTGGAGCGTGTGTTCAATGCTCTGGTGTTGACAGTTCTCCCTATGCAAAACCTCAGTGTCAGCCACAGGTAAAAGACTAAGCCTTTCTCATGTCTCATCTGGGGATTTACATGGCTCTGCACATGTACATGGCCTTCGAAATCTCCAGTAATATACTAGAGCTTTTCAGTGACCCCATATGGAACCTCATTACGCAATTTTTACTTTTATTTGTTTTTGTCAGTCTTTTGTTAGCTCTAACTTGGATAGACAGCCCAGCCCCTTGCAATGCCAAACAATTAATATAGATTTTTTAACACCTTAAGGTTACTAGTATTTGCACCGAGTGAGCTCTAAAACAGGCCAAATAAGAATATATCCTGAAAATTGAGTTATTCAGGGAGCTGACAGACATGTCAAATAGTAAAAATTATCTGAGAACAGGGCGTTCTTACAGCTCCCAGCGCATTCAGTTCCTTCTTGCGGCCTCAAGACTGCTGGTTCCCACAAAGACTGTTAGTTCTCATAGAGATCTTTTCAAGGCTACCCTACAGTTGAGATAAATGCTGTGGGAATAGAGCAAGTAGAAATGCTAAAGACTGCTTATCTTACCAATATTATACTATGTTTTTTGAAGAATGTTCCTCAGATTTTTGCAAGCCTTTGGTTAATTTCCAGATTTATTCACAATTGAATTTGTCCGCTTTTTTGTCAATTTTTTTGGACAGTGTCTCTATTGTTTTTATGGAGGAGTAGTCTTACAGAGTTTCAGAAATGTTTCTTTAATAAATGCTCCCCGGATTGCTGCAAGGTTTTCATTAGTTTCCAGAGTTTGGGAAATGTTTATTCTGACATTATTTTTTTGGAACTTTTCTTACTCATTTTATGGAAAAGAACATTTTGCTAGGTTCTGATTCTACTATTTTTGCTAACATCCTAGCCTTGACTTCTTTACATAAATTTTCTGCCTCTAACTCGTCTCGATCTACAATTATGCATATGTTAGAAATGCATATTTTTCTATATATTGTTGATATTTTCATTGTATTAACATTTTTTTCAATCTGTAGTTTAGATTCAATAGTTTTTGTTGCCACCATATTGTTACTTTTTTTTCTGCAGTGTGTTTTAAGTCCATTCTGTGAGATTTTCATTTCAAGAATTGTATTTATTGGGCTCTAGAAATTCAATTTTGTTTATATTAATATCTTATATTTCTTGACTTGTTATATTAGTGCTTTTCCCTAAATACTTATAGTTTCTTGTAAATGTTTTAATCAATTTTCCTGGTGTTTTCATTAGTTTTTCATTTCTGTGTGGATTGTCTTATTTTTATTCTGGTCATTTTTTTTTTTTTTTTGCTTCTTAGCATGTGTAGAAACTTGTTCTTGTATACTAGACTTTGCCATTTTGCATTGTTGTGTGTCTGGGTTTTGATGTCTTCCTAAAGGAGTGTTGATGTTGATGTGTTTATTTAAGACAGTAATTTATACTTGAAAACTTCCTCGATGTGTCAGAGATTGCTGTTTAGGTTTTCTTACACTATACTTGGAGTTAACTTTACTCTAGGATTATTCTATACCTATTCAAAGCACAATCCTTCTGGGGTTTCTACTTAATGCTGTGAGGGTTTATCATAATCTCTCCATTCTGGCAGGTTGAAATTCAAAAGTGTTCATGTCTTTTGTAAACTCTAGAAGTTGTTAAATTTATCAATCTCCAGAATTTGTTATCTATTATCTTAAAGTTTCATGCAACACAGGTACACTGTAATGTTCAACCAAAAACTCAAGGGGATTCCTATGAGGAAATCTGCAGTTCTTCTGCATATCTCCTGTCTCTGTAGTTGTCTGCTTTATTATTTCTAGATGCTTCATCTTTCCCAAACTCTAATACTTGCTTTCTTAACTCAGCAAGACCACTGTACAAGTTTCTTTACTCCCCCCACTGTTCTGTGGTCCAGAAATGCCTCCAGGTATACTATAGTGGTCTTAGTGCTCCCCTTAATTTTCTTTATTTTGTGGATCACAGTACTGAACTGTTTGTTGCCCATTGTCTGAAAACAATTATTTCTTATATTTTGTACAGTTTTCTAGTTTTCTGTTTTTGTTTCTATTTTGTTTCTCTTTTGGAACAGGAGACGAAGCTTAGTGTCAGTTAATCTGTCCTGGCAAGTAGAGAATAGAACCCTCTTTGTAAATGACTTGTTCTTTCTTCCTGACTCCCCACATGTATCTTTATTTATCCTTGAAGTTCAGCAACTTTTTCCAGATACGTCCACATGCTGAATGTTCTGTACCTTTTTATTTTTTTCTGAGATACAATATATCTTTTTATCCCTATATTAAAGACTTAACCTTCATGTATTTTGCTTCATTCTTCTGGAACAGCAGTTCTGTGTGAGTCGAACATCTTTTGTCTAGGTTTCAGGTATTACTTTTAATATTTTAATATCTTTTCCTTCTTTTGCTTTCATTTTGTGTAATTTCTTCATGCCTTTCCATCAAGCCTTACTGTTCTCAGTAATGCTTATGTATAATTTTGTTGCTTCTAATATGGTCTTGTATCTCTACTGCTTAATTTTCTCTTTTCCACTTATTTTCTGAATTCTGTTAGCTTTTATCTCCCTCTATCACCATGTAATCTAAGTTTTGAACCTCTGTTTTATTGTAGCTCTTCTTCATGCCATCTAACTCATGCCCTTTGTAATTTTTTGAGACTATGGAGAAATAATTATCTGTTTTTTAACTCCTTGGAGAATTCTTGTGATACGTGCTATTAATTGACCTTTTGCTCCTTTATTTTTTTAATTAAAAGTAATGTTTTTAATTTATTTTGATAAGTTAATATTTTCTGTTTTGAGATAATTACTCATCTTTTAATGACGCCAGCCATATTTGGGGGTTGGGAAAAGATAATGATATGAGGATGTCAGTATCTTTAATTTGTGTTTCTTTTCCGGGACAACTTTTCAAAACAAATGTCTGTCCTTTTCACCTGGTAGCATGTCTTCTCTCAGTTATTGGCATTCAAGTTGTTGATCATTCACAGTAAATCCGTTAAGCTCCAGGGTCTCTGTTTTGTGATGTAGTGATTAGTGTTTCCCCTCTGTCATTTATTACATTTCACCTCTGACAGTTCCAGCTGGATATGAGGTTAGATAATAGATAAACAAGTTATATTAGTATGGTTTCTTCTTCAGTGCCATCTCTCAGACCACTCTGCAGTGCGAAGCTGGGTTTCTGCACAGGTATTCTCTCCTTCTCTGGTTGTCTGCCTACTCCTCTGAATCTAATTACTCAAAAGTATTGTTGAATTCAATACAAACATAGTAATAGTGATTTTGAAGAAACTGAATGCTTCTTGAGGTATAAAGTGTGTACTTTTGAGTCTTCTGCCTTATTTTGTTTTATGTTTCATAGTGTTTTGTAGACATGTCTCAAAAATTTTGTATTGTGGTTGTGGTCATTTTATTGTGGCTTTGAAGACACGTCCACTTCCCACCCCCACAGTAAAACACACTACACACTCTGCTTTGCTTGTTCTATAATACTGGTGAGTTTTGAGAGTGGGTAGTGTAAGGTGAGCCGAGAGAAAGGATGAGCAGACCCAAAGTCAGGCAAGCAAGCTTTATTGAGCTGCTTGGCTGCTCCACCACAGTTAGAGGAGGCAGCCCTGCTTACAGACAATAGCAGGGTTTTACAGGGCCAGAACTGGGTCGGGGTAGGGGAGCTAAGTCGGGGGTGCAGGAGGACTGGGTCAGGGTTGGGGAGCTGAGTCGGGGGTGCAGGTGTCTTGACCGCCTCCTGGAGATGTTTTTTGCCAGCTTTGTTATGTGAGGTTAGCAGACGTGTTAACTGCATCCTGTAACTGTCTGGACAAACAGTTATTGGAGGGGTCAGTGGAAGGGGGGCGGGGTTGTCTTTTGCCCTGGGGTAGCTGTGCGGAGAGCGCAAGGGACTGTACTGTAAGGTCTGTGGGAGGGGAAGGGAACGGTTTGGTCAGGGTGACCTTAACAGGCAGTAGAACAGTAGTATAAAATTTCTCTTTAATTTTTAGTAGAATAATTAGCTTATTACTTAGGGAGAATAAATTGTTGCCTATTTTGTTGAAGAAATAGAATATGCTTTGGTACTATTCTACTCCTAAACAATGACCACAAATCATTTATGTCGAGGTTTTCAAGAGCTTGGTTTTACCACCAATAACTAAAGAATTTTGATAGTAAAAAAAGCAGCCCCCGCCCCCCGTCCCAAGAGGGCCTTGTTCCGCTGATGGAAATTAATTAGATGTACTATAGCTTCTTGCTACTCACGTGATACTTAGGCCAGCATAGGTGTCACTGGGGACAGTATAAAAAACAAATAATCCCAGGTCCCAAGCTAGATTTACTGAATCAGGAATTTCATTGCAATGAATACTCTGGTTATTTTTAGGCACATTAAAGAAAACTTTGCCTACTGTCTCAATCCCAGTAAGGATGTATATCTCCACATTTCTTCTTCCTATAGCCATAGTGTAAGAAACTGTGGTCAAGAACGAATGATGTGCTGATGTCTCTCTGGAAATAAAAATCCTGATTTCTATAATTTTCCCATTTCCTTGGTGTGAACACTTCACCATGAATAATTTCAAGCTAACTGCATGATGTCACTGCATGTGAAATTGGGAAAAGATTTGCACAGTCTGTTCTCACATGACTATGCAAGCTGGCTCTAGAACATCACTGCTCAGAATCTACCTATTGTTGCCATTGTACAAACACCAGTTATCTTACCAACTTCCATGATATTTTGGGGTTTTCTGGATACGATTTTCTTATTAACAAGAACATTTGTAAAATGAAATAAAATGCAATGTAAACATAAACTGGAAACTTATAAAACTCTTCTTTATCTCCTCTTATCCCTTTAACATATACTAGTTATAATTTCTTAAAATTTTGTTTTATAAACCAAACTCTTCATATATCTAGATTTTTTGCATCAGTTACATAATATATCTTATTTTGGTCTTCAAAATAAACTTTTTTCACAATGCATTTTATTCTTTTGTTATTTTATACGATAATTTGAATACACTTGTGGTACAGTGTGGTCGTTTTATGAAGAAAGTGGTTGACTTAGACAAGGTCACAAAACAAATACAGAGATAAAATAAAATGACACACCAGTTTTCCTGCATCCCACTCTCAGTGTTTGTGTGAAATATATTTTACGGGGAGAATGGAATAAGGGGATTCCCAGAAACTGTATCTCACCTGCTCCTGGGTCTAAAATTTCTGGGCATGTTGAAAGAGAACGAATGGCAAGTAAGGCTATGCAATATTGGACTTGATTGAGAAAGATTTGGATGACCAAGCTTATCGCTGACTTATCTGCCTTACTTATTAGACTAATTGATTCATGAAGATCACTTTGGTTATTTTCTCTTTTACAGTCATCAGCAACTTCATTCATTATGCAGACGATGAAAGAGACATTCAGAGAGGTTAAATAATTTGCTCGTGTATACACAACCAGTAAATTGCAGAGCCAGGTAAAATCTAGTTCCATGTGAATTTCCAAATCCTCGTTTTTCTTTATTCCATTACACTTGATATGTTTAATTGTTCTTTGTTTCTTGTATTATATTGAGTTTGAATTTGTTATTCTAGTAACATGATAGTATTAATATCCACATTCAGTTGAAAGTGTTGGGCGAATAGCAATCATGTGTAATTAGTATTCAGAGCTGTATCAAGAAGTCTGTTTCAATCTTTATCTGTAAAAAAATCCTCGGATAACTATGACTGCAAAAAACATTTCACACATAGAACAGACACATTCACAGAAGTGAAGTAGATTAGAGGTTATCAGAGGCTGGAGGCAGGGAGAAGTGGTAAGTTATTGCTTCATTATTACATAGTTTGTTTAGGGTGATGAAAAAGTTTTGGAAATAAATAATGGTAGTGATTGTATATCATTGTGCATATAGTTAAAATGCCACTCAATTGTACACTAAAAATGGTTAAAATGGAAAATCTTCTGTTTATTTTACCAAAATCTACTAAAAACAGACATGAGGCCTCAATAAACAAAAATTCACATGATGGCCATAGGTTTTTCAGTTGTAGAAAGTAATATTTTGGGGAAAAGCTCCAAATGACTTGTTCATAGCCTAGAGACTCTAAGAGAAAGTTTTTCACAAACACAGCCAATCATACTTAAAATTTCTATATTTGAATGGACTTTTTTAACCATAGAAAAATTATATTAATTTACAATGGGAATTGTAACCAGATAGGGAGCCTTTTGACTAACATCAGCCAATGTATTCTTTTTCTGTGAGAAGCCAGAATGACTATTATCAAAAACACAAAAAGTAACAGATGCTGGCAAGGATGCGGAGAAAAGGGAACTTTTATACACTGTTGGTGGGAAGGTAAATTGGCACAACCTCTATGGAGAAGAATATGGAGATTTCTCAAAAAACTTAAAATAGGACTACCATATGATTCAGCAGTCTCACTTCTGGGTATATATCAAAAAGAAAGGAAATCAGTATGTCAAAGAGATATCGGTACTTGCATATTTATGGCAGCACTATTCACAACAGCCAAGATATGAAGTCCACCTAAGAGTTCATTAGTGAATGAATGAATAAAGAAAATGTGGTGTACATACGCAGGAGAATGTTATACAGCACCTAGCCTAGAACTAAGCACACAGTTGACATAATAAACCTATATTGCCTGTTTGTCTAGTAAGGATAATTTTTAGAAGAAAATGTGGATATAAGTCTTAAATAAAAGTGAAAACATAATATAGAAAGTCCATTTACATAATGATGTATATATGTATGTGTATATATATATTTATATATATATTTCTTTGAATGGCATTCTGTAGACCTAGGCTAATAATAATTCCTATTTAAGTTTAAAATGAACTACAGCGCATGGTCAAAAAAATGGTTCTCTAATGAGAAAATTTACTATATGCACCTTCCTACGATAGTGCTTTAAAAGTGTTAAAATATAGATATCAACATTATATTGTGTTTTCTAAAGACCAAGGACTCTTGAAGGTTTTAGAGCAACAAATGGATACTTCTCTATTAGTCAATAAAATATTCTGGATATATGCATATGCATTAATTAATATATTTTCTTTCTTATTGCTTTACATGTTCAGAGCCAATATGTTTTGCCCAAAATATTGATTTTTGATTATGTATATATTGCAAAAGGTTTACTTCTGATGTTGAGGTTTTCTACTTAAACCATTCATCCATATCTCTAAGAGCTAAATAATACTTTGGAGTTTTTCCTCTAAGTGGCAATAAAATACACTTACTAAATGGAATCTTTTGTGTCCATGGAGTAGAGATTAAGTTTCAGGAAGCAGAGACACAGCTGCAGTGTGCTAAGCTCAGAGCTCATTTTTCTAAGTCTTTGTCTTATAAATTTGGTCAGATAAAGTGTTTGATCTGAATAAACTGAAAATGAAAAAAAGATATATAAATGCATTTAGAGATTTGTTTTTCTGTAACAATCCCCTGAAGTTTCTAAGAAAGATATATCATCTTAGAATCCTTAAAAGTTTAATGTAATATGAATGGGAACAGAATAATTTTCTCTGAGGTGCTGTAAATGGAAGAGGTCCAACACAATGAAATGATAAATGTTTGAAGTGATGAATATCCAATTACCCAGATTTGATCATTACACATTTATGCTTATATCAAAATATCACATGTACCCCATAAATATGCACAACTACTTTGTTTTCATGAAAATGTTTTTAAAAGATGTTCAAATATACCCATAATAGTATTTAGAACTTAAAAAATTCACAGAGCTCAATTCGTAAAACCCTTCAGCATACATAGAGGGGCAGGTAATTGCCTAAATCATAGTGAGGGAACCAGCAGAGTCAGTCCTTGAATCCAGTAAACCTGATCTCCTCTGTAGGCTCTCCCATTAAACATTCACATGTAGGAAAAGTCCTCATTACAGTTGTTCTATTTGAAACAGCAATATGTAATAATAGCCTGGGTAAAACAGTTACAATTAAATTGGATGCTTTGAGCAAATAGAATCAACAGCTGAGGTCCCAAGGTCATTTTAATCTTGAATATGTTTTTCTTTCATTATCTATTCTTTGATAATTAAAATGTTCCAAAATAATGATAAGAACAAACATGCATACTTCCTTTATCACACATTGAATACATGTTATTACGGGTTTTAAAAAACTTAAAAATATTTCCACATGCTATAGATAATAGGTTGCTCATGTTTCCATGGTATATTAGGTTTACAAAGTGCTTTCATGTTCATCATCTCTATGCTGTTTGCAAGATAAATAACATCTATCTTCTTTTAGACATGATGGACTTGAAATTCCATAAGGATGTGATTTGTGTGAATTACTCAGCTTGGTGATGACAGAGGCAGGATTAAAACCTTTGTTTTCAAACTGTAATGTACAACAGAATCTCCTTTTTAAAGCACTCTCTTCTGGGTCAGAATTTCCGATTTAGTATGTCTAGGTGGACACCTAAGAATTTGCATTTCTAACAAGTTCTCCTGTGATACTGACTTTGCCAATCCAAAGACCCAAACACTGATGTAGTTAATCCTGGGGCAGCCTATCCGTATTCTCATGTAGTCTCTTATGGAATTGGAAACATTTCAAAAACAAGTGGTTTGCCTAACCTCTTTTCTCAAATGTGTTAGTAAGTCCTCTTTATATTTAGCAAGTTATTAAAGTAATAGCTTATATTTTTGATTTGCCCATATCAATGGCATTTTAAAATAAGAACTATATTTCAACATATATGTATCAAGTACATTGAAAGAAGTGTGAATCTATTACTAATTTTTTGTGGTTACAGTTATTCTTAATATTTAAAAAATTTTTATGTTAAGGTTATTGATAATTTGCATACCACTATTGTAATGTTATATTGTTCTGTATTATTTGATAATATATTTACCTTTGCCTGTGAGATTTATACTTTGATATGCTTTCATATTGCTCTTTAGTGTGTTTTTTGAATGTGGAACCTTTGTGTCCTAAACTAGAAGCTTTGTGCTCGATGTGATTATACAATCATTAGACATGGAATTTAAAATATAAGTCCATAAATAAAATTCTTATTTTTATTATAGACTTCAAGATGAATGTTAAAAGATAACATCTAAGGATATAAGAGAAAAAGAAAAAAATAGAACATCTAATCAGTATTGTAACCATTATTTAATGTTTATCATTATTTTTACTTTTTTGCTTTTTAGTTTAAAGATACTTGCATGGGCAACAGTGTCAAGTTGCAGGATTAAAATATAGTATGTCCAGTTACATTTGAATTTCAAAGAAACAATAGTTGCTTTTGTTTTAGTTTTCATTTTGTGTTTTTTGAGTATAAATATGCCCCAAATATTTCACAGAGCGTACTTTTGCTACTAATAATTATTTGTTGTTCATTTAGAATTAAAATATAATTGAGAGTCTTTTCTTTTCTTTTTCTTTTGCTGCTAAATCTTACAATTCTAGACTAATGACAAAAGTAGAGGATCACTGACTGCTGGGTGAAAATATGGAAGGTAAATATGAGCACCCCCACTTAATCCTTAGCAGTATGATAAGTAAAATTTAGAGTTGCAGAATAAATGCATTACGTTAACATCATAAACTTATAACTAATTTTATTAGTATCTACCAATACATATTGTATACATGATATGTAAAAACATATGTATATATATAATATATGATATTTTATCAGTCATGATTTCAGGATAGTATATTTATATAGTAAACTTACTGTTCCCTCAATATGGTAAGATCTTCAAATACAGTTATACATTAAATACTTTTTGAGCACTCCACGTGAATCAGAAATCACTGTGTTCAGTCAAAAATGAGTTAAATAGGTCAACAAATGGTTGTCCTCTATAGTCCTCTCATCTTAAGTGCAAAGAAAATGGCATGAAAAGGCACTAAAGCCAAAACAGTGATTCTCAACCCTAGCTTCCCATCAGAATTACCTAGAAAGCTTTAAATTCTATGCGTGGGTCCCACCCTCAGATATTTTTAATTAATTGGTTTGAAATCTGTCTTGGGCATTGAGGAGTTTTTAAAAGCTTTCTCAATTATTTCAATTTGCAGCCAAGATTTCTTCAATGAATGGTACTCAAACTTGTCTGCATGTTTTAATGACACAGCGAGCCTTTAGGTAAATATGTTCGTGACCAGACTACATCCCACGTAAAAGGGGTCTGGTGGAGGGGGTGAGGTTGAGCAGTCTTAAAGCTCCCCAGCTGTTACTGGAAAGGGGTCCCAATCCAGACCCTAAGAAAGAGGGTTCTTGGGCCTCACAAAGAATTCACTGTGAGTCCATAGAGTAAAGCTGAAAGCAAGTTTCTTAAGAAAGTAAAGGAATAGAGTGGCTACTCCACAGGCAGGCCTGCAGCATGGGCTGCTCGACTGAGTATACTTATAGTTATTTCTTGATTATGTGCTCAACAGGGGGTGAATTATTCAATGAGTTTTCTGGGAAAGGGGCAGGCAATTCCCTGAACTGAGGGTTCCTCCCCTTTTTAGACCATATAAGGTAACTTCTGAACGTTGCCGTGGCATTTGTAAACTATCATGGCACTGGTGGGAGTGTCTTTTATCATATGCTAATGATTGTAATTAACATATAATGAGCAGTGAGGACAACTAAAGGTCACTTTCATCACCATGTTGATTTTGCTGGGTTTTGGCCAGCTTCTTTACTGAATCCTGTTTTATCAGCAGGGTCTTTGTGATCTGTATTTTGTGCCAACCTCCTATCTTGTCCTGTGACTAAGAATGTGTAGGGATAGGTGCGGTGGCTCACACCTGTAATCCTAGCACTTTGGGAGGCCAAGGTGGGTGGATCGACTGAGGTTAGGAGTTCAAGATCAGCTTGGCCAACATAGTGAAACCCCATTTCTACTAAAAATACAAAATATTAGCTGGGCGTGGTGGCAGGTGCCTGTAATCCCAGCTACTCGGGAGGCTGAGGCAGGAGAATCGCTTGAACCCGGGAGGTGGAGGTTGCAGTGAGCCGAGATCGTGCCATTGCACTCCAGCCTAGGTAACAAGAGTGAAACTCCATCTCAAAAAAGAAAAAGAGAAGAATGTGTGACCTACTGGGAATGCAGCCCAGCAGGTCTCAGCCTTATTTCACTCAGCCCCTACCCAAGATGGAGTTGCTCTGGTTGAAATGCCTCTGACACAACTTATTTCAATATGCCAGTAAGTTAGAAAATCATTATTCTGTAGGATTTGTATGCTCTTTACACAGCTCTCCATTCAGATATGAACTAGACTTCGAGTATTTGCCTTATTAGAACTTAAGAGAAATTAAAGAAAAAATACAGCTTTAGGAGGTATTGGTATTGACAGTATTGGCTCTCCTAAGGCGTGAGGAGGTATCTTTCATGAGATCATTGTATGAATATCACCTGTACTCCATAAGTGTGTATAATTATTATATATTCATAATAATTAAAATTTTAAAGAAAAACAAATAGTACTAAAGACAATGACAATCAATCAAGCATGTACTTGAGACTTCCCTGTGGAACACTCCACCATAGCTTGAAATCCACAGGGCTTTTTAGTTTCTTTTTTTCATGTACAAGGGTAACTAAAAATTCCAAACTGAGTAAACAACAACCAGAAAAGCTTTGGCAGCACAAATATAACAACTTTTTACCCTGCTGAGTACTGAAAACCCTGCTGTTAGTTGTTTTTTCTTCTGCATGCATGGATGAACTTCCCATATGAACAAGTCGAGTATGCTTAATGAGTCATGGAAGAGCTTGGATGCCCTCACCTGGAGCTTGGAATCTTCAGGATGCAGCAACTAGAATGGATGGCTTTGTTTTACCTTCAGCCATTATATCAGGTGTCATCAATTTCTTGATTCAATTAGTTCTCACTTATACATAGTAATGCCTATCGACTTCTTAATTCACTTCTACCCGTGTGACCAGATAACTCCTTTTTTCCTCTTCCTTCTGTTGGTGGCTGTGATCAGGGTATCAGGGGTTGGGGTTGCAACGTGTGTAGAAGGGAATGAGGCCTGGGTAAAGATTCAAGAAAAGGCATTTAGTTCTTGCTCAGCCCCATATTGCCTACGTCACTTAATTTTCAGAGTTTTAGCTTCTTTACAGTTTCAATCAGCATAGTATAACACCTGCCTGAAGGGCTCACAATATGGCTGTGAGGAACAAAATTAGTTGAGTATGTCATCATATGTGAGGCAGCTGAAAATGAAAGATTCCCAGTAGCAGTAGGGGCAAATGAAGAACTCTGGAAATTAGACATGCCTATTGAGGTGGTATAAGTGCTGTGTGTACTGACCTAGGCTAAGGAACATTTTTTCCATGAAGTAGGAGAAGAGATTGTTCACTTTCAAGAGTTAGGGGCCACGAGTTGCAGAACGGTGTAAAGGTTTAAGGAAAGTGGAAATATTGAGTCATTTCTAGGAATGTAAGTTTCTTGGATAGAGTTACCAGATAAATCACAGGATATAGGGTTAAATTTGAATTCGAGGTAAACTGTGAATAAAATGTTCGTTATATGTATATCCCAACTATTGCATGTGAAATACACTAAAAATTATTTGTTGTTCATCTGAAATTCGTGTTTGTGCATTCTGTATTTTCATTTGCCGAATCTGCCAACACTAATCTAGGGAGAGTTAGGGATGTCCGCTTTGCTCCTTTCAGTTAGTTTTGTGGAGGAGAAACTTTCAAGTATTAGTAACTTGCTGTGTGCCTTAATACGTTGTTGATTAACACATGATACTTAAATATTGATAGCATTTTATAGTTTATGAAGCAGATTTATATATATTGTTTAGGAAGTGGATTTATATATATTATTTACAAAAATCTTATAAGTTAAGCATTATCATTCCCACTTTACAGATAAGAAAACTGAAAATCAGAGTTTTCAGGTTACGATGCTTGTTCAAGTTTATATGGCTATTTAATGAAATATTTAGCAATTAGAAACAGTTCTTTGATTATATGTGCAATGTTATTTCAACTATGTCCAAGCTGTATCTTAGACTGATTAGATCTCAGCGTTTTATGTTTTATCAGAAGCAGATTTTCTTTTTGTTTTCCATTATCTAAAACTGGTCCCAGCAGACATTACTTCTAATCCAGTTGTTTTGCTTGTATGATTCCATTGAAGATTTAGTATTAATGAGCTCGCTGTAAGTAAAATATACAGCACATTGAATTTGTCACTGTAGCTTCTCTTAACAAATGAATTGAACAAATGTAGTTTTACAGGAATCTACATTTTCTGCCCTGTTGGAAACCCAATGATTTATTTGCTCCACAATTTTAAATAGCTACTTTTTACAACCAGTGTCCCAAATTGACTTCAAATAACGTAATTATAGTACAATACGTTCTTCTAAAATCTTCTCTAGATTTGTATGAATGGTCATTGCATGGCGAATCGTAACTAAATTTCTCCAGTGCAGCATATTTTCAAAGAGAACATTAGCAAGGAGGTGTTCAATAGCAATAACACACATGTAGTGACACTATAGAGTAGTGGTTCTCAGAGTGTGGTCTCCTCAACTAGCAGCACCAACATCCCCTGGGGACTTGTTATTGAGAGGAAAACTCCTGGATCTCAAACTAGACCTACAGAACCAGAAAATCCGAGGCAGGGTTCAGCAATTTGTGTTCAACAAGCCCTTCAGGAGATTCTGATAGATGCCAATGTATGAGAACCATTATACGACTAGCATCCTGCTGTACCTCCTGAGGGTGAAGAGTGAATCCTGGCTTGGAAAAGCTAATTGAGACACATTTCTGTTCCAAGAATACTTCTGTGGACAGCATTTGATGGTAAGTCCACCCCTTGGTTACCTAAAATCATTACATGTCAGAACTTTCTCAGCAGGTGGGGGAGTGGACACGGTCACAAGAATGGAGAGATAGTTACGAAATTCAGTGAACAGAATTAATTGTTAAATGCAACTGTAAGCATTCATCCATTGTTAGGGGAAAACAGACATTTACTAAACTGTTGTTATATGTAAGGTACCATCGTCAGCATTTTGCACACGTCTTATTTATTTCTCATAACCATCCTATCATACAGGCATTATTATGACCATTTAATAGATGACAGAAATATCAAGTACTTTGCTCAAAGATACACTGCTGGTGAGCGACCTTCGTTTGGTTTATAATTTAATTATAGTTCATCTCTTTAATGAGTGTTCCCAGCCTCTCCACAGTATAAGGGGCATCTCTTATTGCCACCTACCTTGAAATTGGTTCTCATCATCTTACAATGCCGTCTTCTATTAACTTGACAGATATCTTGAAACCAGAGGGTGAATATCAAAAGACAGATCCAGAGGATTGTATGGAAGTGTTTCAATTTCTCACTCTTGGCCCACACAGACCTTTTAAGAACTCCCTATAATAAAGCAGCTCAATATGTTAATGTCGCAGTTTTATACTTTACAAAGAAAATTCATCAGCGACACATATAAGGAAACTTGGTGTGTATCAGAGTTAGTATTAGAGATTAGTAGGGAAAAAATGACTATTTAACATGTGGTGTTTTTGGACAATTGGTTACCAGAGAAGTGAAAAACAAAACCCTAAATTCCTACTTCAAACCCACCATATATTTTTTAAAAAATTTCAAAGGCTTTAAAATCTAAATGTGAACCACAAAAGATTAAATATGTTTAAAATATCTATATGAAAGGGTTATGATCTTGTGGGTAAAGAGTGTTTATTTTAAAATATTTCTTTTAAAAAATACTACATCAAAATTTAAAACGTTAATATGACAAAAAGAAGACACCATGAAAAAGTCGAAAGACATATGACAGATTAGAAGATATTTCCAATATATGCAATGAAGACGGGACTAGAAATGAAAATATATGAAAACGTTCTACAAGTGAATAAGAAGAGTATGAACAATTCAAGACAAAAATAGACACTAAACACAAATAGGTAATTTACAATAGAGAAAATTGAATGTGGAATAAATATGTGAAAAGATGCTATACCTGTATGTTAATCAGGGAAATGAAAATATAAACATCAGTGAAATACCATTTTATAGTTTTCATGTTGGCAAAACTATAAAATCTGTCAATAACCGGTGTATACTTCTGATAAGGGCATAAATTAGGCCAATTGTTTTGCAGAGGACAATTTGGAAATAGCTAGAAAATCTAAATATGTGCGTACACTGAAACCCAGCAATTCTACTTCTAGATATGATTTCTATGGAAGTTTTCCTATTTGAATGCAAAGAGGTACACGTCGTAAGTTCACTGCAGTGCAGTATGTAATAGTTAAAGATTGGACATGATTTAAATGTCCATCAATAGGAAAATGGACAGAGAAAATTTGGTATATTTATGAGGTATGATGTTATGTAGCAGTTAAAGATAATGAATTAGATCTATGTATCAATAATGATAGATTTCTAAAATCTAATTTTGAGTATAATAAGTAATTTGTAGGAAGATATACATAGTATAGATGCATTTGGGTAACTTAAAAATATGTGTGATAGTAATATATATATATGTGTGTGTGTATATATGGATTGGTAGGATAAACATAAAATTCAGTTGTTTCCTCCAGGGAGAAGCTAAGGTAGGAGAATGGGATTGAGGAAGGAATTATAGAGACACATTTTATCAGAAATATTTAGTGGCTTGTATTTGTTAAATATGACATAAGTACATAAGTATGGAAAAATATTAACCTAAGTCTTTGCTGTTATAGTCTCTGCATTTTTTGTATTATTAATCTTATTTTTTCCAAAGTAGAAAAAAATGCCCTGAAGCTCAGAGAGGTATGTAACTTGCATGAGACAGCCAAGGTAAAAAAAAAATATATATCACTGTGTAAAGGCCAATTCAAATGTAATAGAAAGGCTAATTACATCAACAGAATAGTGAAGTATTTCAAATGGGTCCAGAGATTTTCAAGTCTTTTTTAGTAAAACATTACTGACTAATCCCAGCCCTGTTGGGAAGGGTTTCAATAGACGCAATTGTTTTCACTAACTTTGTTATTTTTCTTTTTTCCTTTTTTTTTTTTTTTTTTTTTTTGAGACGTCGTCTTGCTCTGTCACCCAGGCTGGAGCGCAGTCGTGCAATCTTGGCTCACTGCAACCTCCACCTCCCGGATTCAAGTGGTTCTCCTGCCTCAGCCTTCCCAGTAGCTGGGATTACAGGCACACACCACCATGCCCTGCTAATTTTAGTATTTTTGGTAGAGATGGAGTTTCACCATGTTGACCAGGCTGGTCTCGAACTCCTGACCTCAAGTGATCTGCTCATCTTGGCCTCCCAAAGTGCTAGGATTACAGGCGTGAGCCACTGTGCCAGGCCAACTTTATTATTTTTCATGTTAGAATTACAAAATCTATGTTGGAGCACTATCCCCTTGGTGTCTATAGGTGGATAACTATGTTAGAGCTGACACTAGCACCTACTTCCACCGTCTTGACAGTATCACCAGATGATACTCCCTGCTCAAAAAAAAAGATGTAATGTGGTTAATTAATGTTTTATCTTCTTATTTTTAGAATTGCTTATTGTAATCCACTGTACCCTGGTCTTCTGGCTATCTGGTGTTACGAGATTTCAGATGATCTGGTAAGTATCTTTCTACTTCTTAAGGAGGGCTTTTTATGAAAGCCCTCTCTAGATTTAAATTAACAGTGTTAAAAGTAGACATAATCATTCATATTGACTAAAGATTTTATAGTTTTGGATATATCAACTTGTTAATATAATTCAAAACTTCTTGGGATGGAAAGCTGCTGGATTGAATACTGAAGATTAGTGAGAAACAACAACAGCATGAGATTGGGGTTAAGGTGACATGAGTGCTAACACTAGGCCTGCCTTTAGCTCTGAGATGTCGAAACAATTCCGTGCATTCTCTGGGGTTCAGTTTCTCCATCTGTACCTTGGTGAGATGGACTAGTACATTTTATTTGATGTAGGTATCAGTAGCATTCGTCATAGGTGGTGATTACTTCCTCCTCCTGGAAACATTTTCTTCCATTAACTTCTAAGGCATTCCAAGGCATCTTACTCTTAATTTTCCCTTGTTTCACTAGCCCTCCTTCTTAGTTTTCTTTATCTGGAGAGACTCAAGATTACTCCTTAGATCTCTTATTAGCATACGTTCCTTTTATCCCCTTGGTGATTTCATCTAGTATCATAATTTTAAGGCCATATATTTATTTACATTGCCTAAATAAAGGTATATCTTCAGCCTTGATAGCTTCTCTGAATTTCATGTACGTTTTTAACTTGGTATCTCCACTTTCATGTCTAATGTATTGCTCAAAATTTACATGCCTAAATTTTCACGTTCAATCCCTGCCCCTCCTCTACTCCAACTTGCTCCTCAATTCACCTCCCTCACACTCGTTAAAGGAAACAGTCTTTCCACTGCTCAGGACAAATCCCTTGGCATCATCATTAATCCTCTCTTTCTTTTACACCCTATACCTAATGATTAGCAGGTTTTTTTTAAAAAGTTCCCAAATGGTAGTGTTTTATTTTTAATTATAATCTGTTTTTCCATGTTGCTCAAATAATTATTTCTGTATATTCCTACATTTGTAATTTAAGATTTCTCTTCTGTTAATTATTAGTAAATCTTGCTGGATATAACTTAAAAATACATCCACAATGTATCAATCGGTCCAAAACCCTAGATTGAAGAGCAATCCCTGGCAGTAGTATCCCAATCCAGAAAAACAGGGACTCCAGAGACAAAGGAAGCAGGTAGTTAATATAGCAGTGAGGGAAGAGAGCCAGGAGATCACAGTAAGTATATGGTCATTTTTTTGGAATAGATTGCAAAAATCAAAGAAAGGGAACTTTATAGCCATGAAGCCAGAAAATCTAATCTACGCCACCTTCCTAAAAGTTTAAGAAAATGAATTCCACATAAAAACAAAACAGCAGATTATCATGAGAGAATATTACAGGAATGTATTATTTAAAAATAGAGGCTGGGCGCAGTGGCTCACGCCTGTAATCCTGGCACTTGGGGAGGCCAAGGTGAGTGGATCACCTGAGGTCAGGAGATTGAGACCAGCCTGGCCAATACGGCAAAACCCCGTCTCTACTAGAAATACTAAAATTAGCTGGGCGTGGTAGCACATGCCTGTAATCCCAGCTACTTGGGAGGCTGAGGCAGGAGAATTCGCTTGAACCCAGGAGGGGGAGGTTGCAGTGAGCCGAGATGGTGCCACTGCACTCTAGCCTGGGTGACAGAGTGAGACTCTGTCTCAAAAACAAAAAAAATAATAAGAATAGAATAATACATTTATGTGTGATACATAAACAGAATAATATCAGTATAGGCAATAAAAGCTTTCATAGAAAGGCACATCCACAAAACAAATATGTTACCTAAGATTTCAAAACAAGGTAAAAGGAATTAACAAAATAATATAAGATACATAATGTAAATGTGAATTGCACAAATTTAGAATGATGTGATTATACCATGAAAATAATTATTAAGTAATTTTAGAAATAAAGATTATACTAAAAGGATTACAAGATTAATTAAACATGGAATAATGCTTCTGAAGGAAAATAAAATTTGAAAAGAATAAACTTTAAAAAGAAGCAAAGAAAAAGATAAAAAAGATTCAGAAGAAAGTTCAGCTGGTTAGTTTGGAGAGTTAATAGGACCCTGACTGCTTTATTCATTTCTGACCTTAAAACAAGCTCCTTGAACTTACCCACAAAGTGGATTGTGCAAAAATCCCTTCTAGTTTCAGCTGCTGTTTGCACATTTCCCAAGCTACTTCAGGATTTGCCTTTTCTTAGGTATTAGGAAATATGCTTAGCAAAGAGCCCTTCACTTTCTTCTGTTTCCTTTGACTCGATATAAAATTCTTGATTCATATTTCTTGAGTTTTTAAAATTAGTTGCTCCATTGTCTTCTGATATAAAATTTTGCTACTGAAAATATACATACAATAAAATCCCAAAGGAAAAATTAATTAATAAGATTAAATTGCAGGCCAGGCGAGGTGGCTCATGCCTGTAATTCCAGCACTTTGGGAGGCCGAGGCAGGCGGATCACTTAAGGTCAGGAGTTCGAGACTGCTTATACTTACTAAGTAACATAAAAGACCTAAGCTATGTTATCAATAGAGTAGAAATTCATTTATATATAGCACTTAGAACTCCATTAACAGGAGTTCACTTTACTTTCAACTAATGTAGACATTGTCTACAACTGACTATATCTGAAGCCAAAAAGAAAACCCTAATAAATTAAAAAATATATATATATTATATATCATAATTCTCTCACCATAATGCAATAGAATTAGAAATCAATAACACATCAGAAAATAATCCATCTGGAAACTTTAAAACATATTCCTAAATTACTAAGTATCAAAAACAATGTTAAATAGTAGTGTAGATAGTGGGCTTCTCATCTTCTTCCTGACTTTAGTGAAAATGTTTCTGATTTTTTTCCCCAATGATAAGTAAGATGTTGGACAAATATGTATATGTACATGTATTATATGAGTGTTATGCACACACACGTATATATATACACATATATACATATATGCATGTCTGTGTATGTATATATACACATAGGTATCGTTGATACATATGAAAATATATAGGTTAATGTATAGGTTTCCCTTCTATCTCATCTTTTTTATTGCAATCCCATCCATTGCTCTTTTACTGACAGCTTTCAAAATGAATGGGTGTATCAAAACCATTCATGTATCTATGGTGATTATATATTTTTTTCATTAGCTGTTTTAAAATGCTGTGTTCTCTTACTGTATTTTCCAATATTGAATTATTAATAGATTTGCATATCTGCAGTAATACCTGTTTGGAAATGATGTATTTTTTTAATGTACAGAACTAGTGAATTCTTTGTTGTGTTATTTGCCTGGCTAATGTTAAAACACATCAGAAAACAAATTTGGAAGTTTTTCTTCTTTTATGAACTCTGGAATATTTTTAATAATGTTGGAATAATCTAACCATTAAATGTTTGATAGAATTTCCCTGTAAAAACATCTTGTTTTCATGCTGGAGAAACTCTTTTGATACTTTCTCCATTTCCTCTGTGGTAGTTGGTTTGTTTAGATTTTCTGTTCCTACTGAGACCAATTTTAAAAACTTTTATTTTCCTAGAAACATACCCACATAATCTAGTTTTTCGAATTATTTGCACAGGGTTTTTCAAAGTAGCCTCTTAGGATCTTTAAAATGTCCTCCGTTTCAACACCCTTGTAATTGTTCTCAGATGGCAAGTTGATGTGAATTAGTCAGCCATTACCAGATTCCCAGCCAGTAGATGCTATTTTCTAAAGGAAAGTGTAAAGGATGTAAATCGATACAACCCTTTTGGAAATTTGTACATTTCCCTTTTGGAAAGGCTCGTATTGATTTAAATAATTGTAGTTATATAATGTATAACTATAATTATGTATGTAACTTAAAGTTATATAAATTAACGTATATAACTTCAAATTTTATTTTTATTATGGAACCCTTTAAACATACACAAAAGTAAAGAGAATAATAGAATGAACTCAAATGCAACCATAACGCAGCTTCAATGCATAACAGTCTATGACCAATCTTGTTTAATCTATAATCTCACCTATTTCTCTGCCCCACATGGTATTTTGAAGAAAAATCTCTAAATCGTATAATGTTACTCATAAGTGTCTCAGTAAATGCCTTTATGGAGATAAACCCTCCTTTTCTTAGTAAACTTTTTTATTTTGCAATAATTTTTGATTTACAAAAAAAGATGACAAATAGTACATAGATTTTCTGTATACTAACTCAGTTTCTTACATTGTTAACATTTTATATTACCGTAACGCAGTTGTCAAAACTGAGAAGCTAACATTAATACGTTACTCCTAAACTCCAGACTTTGGATTCGACTAGATTTTTACTTTTGTGTTCCACCATACCACATCACATTTAGTTAACACTTTTTATAAGCATAACTGCAATACGATTATCATACTTTAAAGTAATAATTCCTTAATATCATTAAATACCCACTTAGGATCCAAATTGAAACTTTGCTCACAAATGGCATATGTTTTTGAAGTGTTTATTTGAATCAGGATCCAAAGAAGATCCGCAACTGTGGTTGGCTAATACCTCTTACGTGTGCTTTAATGTATAAGTTTCACTTCCATCTCATTTTTATTGTAATGTATTTATTTTAAAAATTGAGTCATTTGTCCTGCAGAGTTTCTTAAAATTTGAGTATTGCTGATGTATTCTCCATGGAGACATGGAGTCCCTCCGTCATACATGTTACGACAGAGGAGATCCCTCTGTCATACATGTTTACACATAGAAGTCTGACCCACGATTAAAAATACCCACACATTTGAGGGCAAAATTTTGAAATAAAAAAGTGTAAAAAATCAAGAGAAAATGAAAGACATTAGATCATTGGAGAATACAGAGAAAAACACAAAGATGCTCCTCACAATTGTCTGGCCACGTTTTCTTAGAGCATCTGCGATGTGCTGGGGCTCCACGTCAGCCCCCAGTTGCCTCGGAAACTCTGAAGCCAGAAGGCTGTTATGGTTAAGTCGTGCAAACAGCCAAGATGGCAGCCCACCCCTCCCTCTGGGAGCTCTGTCCCAGGGAATCCTGAAACCTTTGTCAACGGGTGAACACTGGTGGGGTTAGCTGGAGACCCCAGTTGGGATGCTGCACCCAATGATGAGGAAGGAGATCAGGAATCTGCTTCAAAAGGCAGTCTGGCCACGTTTCATAGGGCAGTTTTGCTGTGCTGGGGTACCACTTCTGCCCCCAATCTGCTTGGACTCTCCAGAGCCCAAAGGCTAGAACAGCTAAGTCACCCAAACAGCAAACCTGGCAGCCCGCCGTCTGATACAATTCTGAGCTCTGTTCCACGGAGTTTTCATACAACCGACGGGTGGAGAACACTGGTAGGGTGGCCGGAGGCTCTGTTTGGGATGTTCTGCCCAGTGAGGAGGAACGGGATCAGGGACTCACTTAAAGAAGTAGTCTCACCACGTTTTTGTAGAGTAGCTGTGCTATGCTGGGGGATCGCTTTCACCGCCAGTTGGTTAGGACTCTCCCAAACAGCAGAGGTGGTGGTCTGCCCCTCTCCCCAGCAGCTTTGTCCCAGGAAGGTGCAACACTGCTACTGGTTGCTGGCTGGAATTCCAAGCCAGTGGTTCTTATCCTGTGAGGTGCCATGAAAGTGGGGCTCAGAGATCGTCACTGCTCAGCCCTCTGGATTCAGCCTTTTTCCTAGGAGTATGGACAGGGATCTAACCTCCCGCTTCTCCGGAGTTGCAGTTACTTTTGCTAGGACTCCCAGAAAGCCAGGGTATCTAAAGCTCCTGGATCTCTGTGCACTCCTGAGCGGCTGCTCTGTGAAGACTCCGTGTAGCTGTGTGTGTCAGACTGAAGGCCCTCGTGGAATGGGTTCATGAGGCGATCTCCTGACCCAAGGTTGCAAAAATCTATTGGGAAAGCGTGGGATCCTGGAGTCACACATTCTCTCACAGGTTCTATGGGTGGAGGAGCTTCCCTTGGCTCCGTGTCACTCTTGGGTGGGCTGTCATCCTGCCTTGCTTTTCTCCTTTCTTCATGGTTTGAGTTGTTTCCTTGATTAGTCCAAATGTGAGTACCTGGATGTTTTAGTTGAAGGTGCTGTATTTACTCGCCCCTTCGCTTCCTCTCTGTAAGAACCATGCATATTAGCTGCTTCTAGTCAGCAATCTTGGCCGCTCTTCACATGCTTAGTTTTAAAAGAAATTGCCAAACTGTTTTCCAGAGTGGCTGTAACATTTTATATTTCTAGAAGCAATGTATGAGTGACTCAGTTATTCCACATCCTCGCTAGCATTTGGTATTTTCTCTATTTTTATGGCCATTCTGAAAAATGTGTTATGATATATCATTGTAGTTTAATTTGAAATTCCCTGACAGCTAAAGATTTTGATCATCTTGTGTTTTTTGCCATCTATATATAGATCTTCTTTGGTGAAATGTTTGTTTGATGTATATGGCACATTTTTTAAATACTTTTTTTCTGTTGAATTATTTTTAATTTTTAATTATTGTGGGTACATAGTAGATGTATATATTTATGGGGTATGTGAAATATTTTGGCAGTGGCATGCAAAGCATGATAATCACATCATGGAAAATTGGGTATCCCTTCCTTCAAGCACTTATCCTTTATGTTACAAACAACCCAATCTGGTTACTTGTTATTGGTCTGTTCAGGTTTTGGATTTCTTTCTGGTTCTATCTTGGTAGGTTGCATGTGTCTAGGAATTTGTCTATTTCTTGTATGTTTTCCAATGTATTGGCATGCTGTTGCTCATAGTAGCCACTAATGATCTTTTCAGTTTCTTCAGTATCAGTTGTAATGTCTCTTTTTTAATTTCTGATTTTATTTATGTGAGTCTTCCCTCTTTTTTTTCTTAGTCTGGCTAAGGGCTTGTCAATTTTGTTTATCTTTTCAAAAAGCCAACTTTCGTTTCCTTGATCTGTTGTATTATTCATTTGAAATTTACTTATTTCTGATCTGATCCTTATTATTTCTTTTCTTCTCTTAACGTTGGGTTCAGTTTGCTCTTGCTTTTCTGTTTCTTTAAGATGCATCATGAGGTCATTTATTTGAGGTTTTTCTTCTTTTATAATGTAGACAATAATAGCTATACATTTCCTTAGTACTGCTTTCACTGTATACCACAAGTTGATACATACTGTGTTTTCATTATCATTTGTTTCAAGTCGTTTTTCAATTTTCTTCTTGATTCCCTCATTGACCCTCTGCTTTTTGGTAGTCTTTTTTGGGTTGAGTCTGCTTGATATTCTATAACCTCCTCGTCCTTGAATGTTGATGCCTGAAGCTGTTTCTTGGTATCTGGGCATTGAAGAGTTAAGTATTTATTATAGTCTTCACAGCCTGGGCTTTTTTGTGCCTGTCCTTCTTGAGAAGGTTTTCCAGGTATTTGAAGGGAGTTGGGCCTCAAGCCTAATATCTCTGTGGTTTTTGCAGACTCATAGATGTACCACCTTGGTGGTCTCAAATTAGATCCAAAAGAATTCTTTGAATTATCAGCATATACTCTAGTTCTTTTCTCTTACTTCTCTTAAACAAATGACATATCTTTCTCTGTGCTGAGCCACCTGGAGTTGGAAGTGTGGTGATGCAAGCAACACTGTGGCCACCACAACTGGGACTGTACCGTGTCAGACCTGAAGCCAGCACAACACTGGGTCTTGCCCACGGCCCTTGCCTTTAGGATGTCAGTTTCCCTCATTCCCCAGGCATGTCCAGAGATGCTGTCTGGGAGCCAGTGATTGGAGTAGAAAAACCACAGCAGTTTACCTGATGTTCTATTCTACTGTGGCTAAGCTGACACTCACGCTACAATACAAGGTCCTTCCTGCTCTTCCCTCCACATTTCACAGGCAGAAGAACCTCTCTCTTTGGCAACTACCACCACCAGTCCACAGGTTTTCTGCCGGGCCACTTCTGATGTTCACTTAAAGTCCAAGAGTTCTTCTGTCAGCTCATGGTGAATGCTGCCAGGCCTAGGACTTACCCTTGAAGGCAGTGCGCTCCCCTCTGGCCCAGGGCAGGTGCAGAAATGCTATCCAAGGGCCTAGGCTTGGACTCGTGGACCCTACGGGCCTGCTTGTTGCTCTACCCTACTGTGGTTGAGCTGTGACATAGTTTGGATATTTGTCCCCAGCCAAATATCATGTTGAATTGTAATCTCCAATGTTGGAAGTGGGGCCTGATGGGATGTGTTTCAGTAGTGGGGGTAGATCCTTCATGGCTTGGTACTGTCTTTGTGATAGTGAGTGAGTTCTCAGGATGTTACAGGACCTCACCACTTACCCATAGGTAGCTGTTGGGTCAGGGTTTTCACACTATAGTCCCTTCTGTTGTTTGCCAGAGATATGTTACAGGAAAGGGGTCCTGATCAAGACCCCAAGGGTGGGTTCTTGGATCTCACGCAAGAATGAATTCAGGGAGAGTCTGCAGTGCAAAGTAAAAGCAAGTTTATTAAGAGTAAAGTAGTGAAACAATAGCTACTCCATAGACAGAGTAGGACGTTCCCGAAAGTAAGAGGAGGAACGCGTCCACCCTAGGTACAATGCTTGTACATATTGGGAGTTGTGCTCTGCTACGAGGGTTTGTGATAAAGCATAAATTTTCTTAATTACTATATTTTGCAAGAATTGATATTATTATCTTTAAGGCAAAATGAGGAATGCCTTTGTTCTCCAGATATCGGAATATCTGGACACTCCCAAGTCTGGGTCTGTTGAGTAAACATTTTTAATTTGTTCCCTTAACCATAAACATCTAGAAGCTAAGAATGCCTGACTTTCTGAGAATGCAGCCAGGCAAGTCCCAGCCTCATTTTCCTAGCCCTCACTCAAGATGGAGTCGCTCTGGTTGAGACACCTCTGACAATGAGCTTTGGTTGTTTAAAAGTGTGTGGCACCTCCCCTTCACCCAACTCTTTCTCTCACTTGCTCCTGCTTTCCTGCTTTACCGGGTAACATGGTTTTTCCCTCTTTGCCTTGCCCCGTGATTGAAAGCTCACTGAGGTTTCACCAGAAACCAGGCAGATGCCAGCAACATGGCTTCCTATAAAGCCTGAGGTCCTGTGAGCCAGTGAAACCACCTATCTTTTTAAATTACCCAGTCTTAGGTATTTCTCTATAACAATGCAAAAATGGCCTAATACAAAAAATTGGTACCAGTAGTGGAGTATTGCTATAAAGTTACCTGAAAATGAGGAAGCAACTTTGGAACCAGGTAATGAGCAGAGTTTGGAAGAGTTTGGAGGGGTCAGAAGCAGACATGAAGATAAAGGAAAGTTTAGATTTTCTTCAAGACTGCTGAAATGGTTGTGTCCAACATGCCGATACTGATATAGACAGTGAAGTCCAGGCTGAAGAGACCTCAGATGGAAATAAGGGACCCATTGGGAACTGGAGAAAAGGTCAGGTGTTTTATACGGACAAAGAGCTTGGCTGCATTCTGTTCATGCCCTAGGGGTTTGTGGAAGTATGAACTTTATAATGTTAATTTAGAGTATCTGATAGAAGAAATTTCTAGGCAGCAAAGCATTGAAGATGTGGTCTGGCAACTTCTAACAGCCTGCACTCAGATGTGAGAGCAGAGGAATGACTTAAGTTTGGAACTTATAATTAGAAGAGAAGCAGAGCATAAAAGTTTGAAAAATTTGCAGCCTAGCCATGTGGCAGAGAAAGAAAAAGCTTTTTGGGGAGAGGAATTCAAGCAAGCTATGGAGCGACCAGTTGCTAGATAAATTTGAATAATAAAAAAGAACTAAGTGCTAATATCCAAGACAATAGGGAAAAAGCCTCCTAGGTGTTTCACAGACCTTCACAGCAGCCACTCCCATCACAGACCTGGAGGCCTATGAGGGAAGAATGGTTTCATGGCCCAGGCTCAGGTCCCCACTGTTCTGCACAGCCTTGGAAGACTGCTCCCCACATCCCAGCAACTCTGGCTCCAGCCTCAGCTCAAGGGCCCCAGATACTGCTCATGCCACCACATTGGCGGTCACAAGCTGTAAGCCTTGGCAGCTTCCACATGGTGTTAAGCCTGTAGGTACATAGAAGACAAGAGTGAATGAGGCTTGGCAGCCAATGCCTAAATTTCAGAGGATGTATGAGAAGGCCTGAGTTCCCAAGCAGAAGGGAACTCTCTTGCTTCTTTCTGCTTTCACTATGTGACGTGCCTGTTCTCTCTTCACTTTCTATCATGACTGAAATCTCCCTGATGCTTCCCCAGGGAAGGCTGTGAAGAGGGGATTTGTGGGTTTGGAGCCCCCACATAGAGTCCTTATTTGGGACAGTTCCTCATGGAGCTGTGAGAAGGGAGACACCATTCTCCAGACCCCAGAATGGTAGATCCACCAGACCTGCAACCTCAGTGTGGAAAAGCCACAAACTCTCAACCTGCAAGAGCAGCCATGGAACCTGAACCCTGAAAAGCTGTAAGAGTGGAGTTGCCCCAGGCCTTGGGAGCCCACCGCTTGCACCAGTGTGTCCTGGATGTGGGACATGGAAACAAAAGTGATTATATTTTGAAGATTTAATATGTAATGACTGCCCTGCTGAGATTCAGACATGCATGGGGCCTGTATCCTCCGCCCCACTTCTTTTTATCCAATTTATCCCTTTCAGAATGAGAATCCTTACCCAATGCTAATACCCCCATTGTAACTTGGAAGTAAACAACTTGTTTTGATTTTATAGGCTCATAGGTGAAATAACTCATTTCCAGATACGACTTCAGATTTGGAACTTGGGACTTTTGAGTTAATGCTGGAATGAGTTAAGACTTTAAAGGGACTGTTGAGAAAGCATGATTATATTTTTTTAATGTGAGAAGGGAATGAGATTTAGGAGCAGCCAGGGCAGAATGATATAGTTTGGATATCTGTCACCGCCCAAATCCCGTGATGAATTCTAATCCTCAGTGTTGGAGGTGGGACTTGGTGGTAGATGTTAGGGTCATGGGGGAGGATCTCTAACGGTTTGGTACTGTTTTTGTGATAGTGAATGAGTTTTTGCAAGACTGGGTCATTTAAAAGTGTGAGGCACCTTCCCCCTCAACCCTCTCTTGCTTGTTTCTGCTTTCACTATGTGACGTGCCTGTTTTCTCTTCACTGTCTGCCATGACCGAAAGCTCTCTGAGGCTTCACCAGAAACCAAGCAGATGCCAGCTCCATGCTTCCTGTAAAGTCCGCAGAACCATGAGGCAATTAAACTGTATTTTCTTTATAAATTACCTAGTCTCACACTTTTTTTTTTATAGCAACGCAAGAACAGCCTAATACAAGCTGGTAACTAAGGTACAAGACAAATCCTCTTTACTTTTTCCTGTGCTTTTCTCAATCAGATGGAGTCTTTGACCATAACTTCCTCAGCTGGGAATGTGCTTGGTCATACTTGAAGCTACCATGCTTCAGAAGCCAAGGTCCACAGAATGCTCCTTGGGTGTCACTCCTGGTTATTAGGGCCTAAGGGCCCTTCAGTTAGCAGATGAGGAATGCTGGCAGGACTGGGTCTTTTCCTTCAAGGCAGTAGGTTCCCTTCTGGCCCAGGGTGCATCTAGAAATGTCATCTTGGAGGTAGAGCTCAGAATGGGACCCTCACAACTCTGCCCAGTGCCCTATCCTACTGTGGCTGAGCTGGTATCCAAGATGCAAGACAAAGTCCTCTTTATTCTTCCCTCTCCTCTCTTCAAGTAGAAGGAAAGGGTAACTTTTTTATTGCTGTGAGCATCACTGCCTGGGGTTGGGGAAGGGATGGCACAAGAACTCCCTCAGCTGCCTATCTGGTGTCTCCTTAGGTCAAATGCCACCCTGGCTCTTAGCCCAACTCGGCACTAGGATTTTCCTAAGAGTTGCAACCCTTGTGTCCTAGGCTGTCTTTCAGGTTTACCTAGAACCCAAGAACACTTCAGCCCACTGTGGCAAGGCTTCCTGAGAAACTTGAGTTCTGACTGATGGGGGTGGGCTATTCTCCTCTGGCTAGGTCTGGTCCAAATGCTTCTTTTGTACATGGGCCCTGGCTGCATCCAGCATGGCTTTATTCTCGGCTGTGACAGGGAAGCACTGAGTTCACTGTAAAGGCCCCAAGTCACTGCACTGTCCTTCCCCAAGTGCACAGCTGTTGCTGGGGGATGGGGGAGGGGTGGCATCAGCAATTCAAGACTGTCTCTCCTACCCTCCTTAATGCCTCTTTCTGTGATATAGATTTAAAACTAGGTACTGTGATTGCTCATCTGATTTTTGGTTCTTGTGATGGTGCTTTCCTGCATGCAGATAGGTGTTAAAATGTGGTGTTCGGCAGGGGGGATGAACAGTGTAAGCTTCTATTCCATCATCTTGCTCCACCTCCTTCTGTTGATTTTTGATAATTCTTTATATATTCTATACACAGGTATTTGTTGAATATACAGTTTGCAAGTATTTTCTCCCAGTTTCTAGCTTGCTTTTTCATCCTCTTCAAATAAACTTTCCGAGAGAAAAATATGCTTTTTAAAAATTTTCGATAAGTTCCAATTTATTTACTTTGCATTTTATGAATTACTCTTTTGATATCAAGCCTATTAACTCTTTTGCCTTGTCTTAAATCTCAAAGATTTTCTCCTAAGTTGTATATATATTTTTTTTAAATATGGTTTTGCATGGTATATTGAAGGCTGTGATCTATTGTAGGTTAGATATGTGAGGTACTGCTCAGCTAATCCTTGGGAGGTGGTTTATGGGTGTCCAATTACTCTGGCATCATTTGTTGAAAAGACTTCCTCAGTTGAATTGCCCTTGCAACTTTGTCTAAAATTTGTGGGGTACATTTGTGTGAGCCTACTTCTGGGTTCTCTGTTCTGCTCCATTGATCTATGTGTCTATCCCTCTGCCAATACCACACTGTCTTGGTTAATGTATCTGTAAAATAATCTTTAGGATGATAGACTGATTCTTCTCAGTTTATGCTGCTTTATTAGGGTAGTGATAGCTATTGGAGGACCTATGTTTTCTCCCATTAATTTTAGAATATGCTTATATATATCTACAACAGGGGTGTCCAATCTTTTGGCTTCCCTGGGCCACATTGAAAGAGTTGTCTTGGGCCACACATAAAATACACTAATGCTAACAATAGCTGATGAACTAAAAAAAAAAAAAAAAAAAAAAAAAATCACCAATCTCATAATGTTTTTAAAAAGCTTATAAATTTGTGTTGGGCCATATTCAAAGCTGTCCCGGGCTGCCTGTGGCCTGTGGCCTGTGGCCTGTGGGTTGGACAGGGTTGATCTACAGCAAACCTTGCTTTGATTTGGATAGAAATTTAAGCCTTTAAGTAAATGTGGAGAAAGGTAATGTCCTTACTTTGTTGTCTTCCAATTCATAAACACAGTGTACCACCTCTCCACTTGTTCATGTTTTCTTTGACTTCTTTCATTAACATATGTAATTTTTAGCATTCAGATGTGCACGTTTGCTAAATGTCATTGTAAAAGATACCATGTTTTACATTTCAGCTTATAAATATTCCTTGTTAGTATATAGAAAAATGATTGATTCTTAGATGTTGAACTTGTATCCTGCAACCCTGCTGAACTAATTTTTTACATTTAGGATTTTTAAATTTTATTTTGTTTTTGTTTTGTTTTGTAGATTCCTTGGGATTTTCTACCTTGGCAATCATGTTATCTGTGAATAGAAATCATTTCATTTATTCCTTTCCAGTTTGTATGCCTTTTGTTTATTTTTCTTGCCTTATTGCAATGGCAGAATCTTTTAGAGCTATGTTGAGTACGAGTGGTGAGAGTTGACATCTTTGCCTTGTTCCCAATTTTAAAGAGAAAGTGTTTACTTTCTCACCATTAAGTATGAAATTAGGTAGAAGTTTTTTGAAGATGCTTTTGTATCAAGTTGAGGTAATTCCTCTTTACCCCTAACTTGATAAGAGTCTTTATCATGAACATGTGTTGGATTTTTAAAAAAATTTTTTCTGTATAAATTGATATGATTATATTATTTTTGTTTAATTGTTAATGCAGTATATTATATTAATTTTAAAATATTGAACCAGACTTGCAAATCTGGAATGAAACTACTTAGTCATGATCATACTGTATAATTATTTTTGTACATTGATTTTATTTTCTAAAATTAGGTAAAGGGTTTTCTAATCCAAGTTCATGAGATTTATTGGTCTCTAGTCTTATCCCTTTATGCATTGCATTGGTCTGGATTAGGTATCAGAGTAATACTGATCTCATAAAATGAGTTGGGAAGAAAATTGTAGTTTTTTTTTAAAGGTGAGAAATGGCATAATCTGATCTTTGAAGTAACAATTCTGGAAACAGGGTAGAAGTTGGAACAAAAGGACTAGATGTTGTTAAGGAATCCAAATGGAAACTATTAGATAAAAGCAATAAATGATGGCATTACATAAATAGCACCAAAATTAGGAAGAGAAAACTAGATCTGTGAGGTGTGTAAATTTGGAACATGTATATTTAAAGAAAGTATGAAGAAAAGTAGAGCTGATGAAAAATGCTAAAATGGAAGAGTTGGTGCATTAGTTATTTACTGTTATGCAACAGTGTTACCACAAACTTGGTGACTAAAATATCACACTTCTGTAATGTTTGGATGGCACATGGCAGAGTACATGTATAAGTGCCCAAGGCAAAGCCTTGCACACAGTAGGTGCTCAGTAATTATTTGATGCAGAAATGGATGAAAATGAATAAGCAAATGAATAAAATTATAAAAGTCTAGAGTTCAGGAAAGAAGCAGGACTGGTATTCGTCAGTAAATATATATGAGAATCAGGCCTATGACATAAGAAAGAATTTTTTATCTTCACAAGAGAATGCTTTCTTCTGAGAGAAAACTAGTCAAAGGATCAAATCTTCTTAAAAAAAGATATCGGCTGGGTGCGGTGGCTCATGCCTGTATTGCCAGCATTTTGGGAGGCCAAGGCAGGTGGATCATGAGGTCAGGAGTTTGAGACCAGCCTGACCAACATGGTGAAAACCCGTCTCTACTAAAAACACACACACAAAAAAAATTAGCTGGACATGGTGGCGGGTGCCTGTAATCCCAGCTACTTGGGAGGCTGAGACAGGAGAATCACTTGAACCCGGGAAGGCAGAGGTTGCAGTGAGCCAAGATTGCCCCACTGCACTCCAACCTGGGCAATAAGAGCAAGAATCCATCTCAAAAAAAAAAAAAAAAAAAAAACAGATATGTCAACTACATATCTAGTTGGAAAAATCTTCTGAAAGTAGGAATTGCATATCCATGGGGTTGTTAATAATTTCTCATTAATTAGAGGTAATATATTGTAATTTCTTGCATAATTCCAAGAAATGAGATGACTATTCCCTATTTCCAAGGACAGGTTTATTCTTAGCTATAATCTAAACTCTTCTAATATGCTAAGATCTGATTGGTGTTGACCTAAAGCCATTTTGTTATTGTTAATGTAAGTGTATTACCATATTTAGAGTTTGTGTCAAAAAAAAACTTGCAAATAATATTCCTGCTACCTTTGTATCTTGAAGTGCAGAAAAAAAAAATAGCCATCATTATTCTTGTGACTTTTCTCAGTGGCTTAAATATATACTACATAACAGGCACATGAGCCATATCATTGGTTAGGTTAAGTAAACTTTCATTTAATCAAATCAACAAATATTTAGTGAGAGTCTGCCATGTGTAATGCACTGTAACAGCTTTGTGTGATTTTTTCTTCAAGTTTCTAATACTCTCCTCTCTTCGAAATGGTGTTCTAGTTTGATTTGGGGAAACTTAGCAGGACAAATAAGGCTTTATGTAAAGCTTTGAGTTAATTTGCATGTGTCTACAATAGTGTTCCCATGATGTACCTCAAAAAGGATTTATCATCTCTTAAAAAATGGAAAGAATAAATTCCACCACGATATATATGATGTAAACCAGGTATCTAAATATAATGTATATTGCTATTACAAGTCTGCATAAAGTATAAAACCAAACAAAAACAATTGCAGATGAAAATAAGATAAATAAAAGGATAATTTTAGAATAGTAATATGTAGAGAATAATTCCTCAGTTCAAATTGTTAGTTTATTATATTTTCTTGTCTGCATATATGCACTGGCATTAACTATGTGTCCACTTTTATCAGTGAATTATAACTGAAATGAATTTCAGATAATAAAGTCAGAAACATCTGGATTTTGCAGCAGCACATGGTCTGCTGGATTTTGAATATGAAATGATCTTGATTTGATTTCCAGTAATAAAAGGAAACAGGAAAGAATGAGATAATTTCTGGTATTGTGCTGCTGAGAAATGGTCTCACTTACACAATTGTTTACAGTCTCCTTTATGGTCATATACTGTTCCATGTCTTCAGTGCCCTTGAGAACTGAGTTATATCAGTTTCTATAGGACAGTGCTTGGCACACAATAGGCACTCAATAATATTTTTACGAATGAAAGAATAAATTGCAATGTGTAACATTTCAGCATCAAATTTGAGAACCCACTTCAGGCACATATTGAGAATTCATCAACATCATCTTAACATCATTTTCATAGTCACAGACTTGTAAAATAAGTAAAGTGACAAAACTGCTAACAATACTTACCCTCACCCACAGACAGATACAGACCAGCCAAAGATAAAAACATACTAAATGTTTACAATTCTAGTGCCGGTGACCGAGAGTGCAGGTGAGTGAGAAGGCCCAGATCATAGCGGTATAGCCTAGATCTAGTTCACACAGCTGTTAAAGTACTGGAATAGTGGATGGCAGGATAGGAAAGATAGAATCCCTGCTCTTCCAAAGCTGCCAGCAATATCAATACATACTTTCAAGAACCCTCCTTCTGTATGTAATTTGTATAGCCTTGCTGTATCATCAGTGTTTTGCATGCCGTAGGCACTCAATGAAAATTTGCCAAGAAATACATAAATCAGAGGAGTTTGACAGAGTTATGAAGGCCAAGAGCAGCAATGACAGGAATCCTAGATTTCAAGGATGGCCAAAATGGCATGACACAATTGGTATGCAAAAACAGGTTCAAAATGTCTATTGAAGGATGAAAGGACATAGGAAGTGGATTCCTGGCAAACGAAGGGGAAAGTTTCAGAGAGGATCAAAATTGCTCCAATTACTGGGGTTCCCAGTGAGGTGAGGAGAGAATTAGGTTTGAATTGCAAAGGAATATTTAGTCCCAAATTTTGTTAATGGATGATGATTTGCACATAGATACCTACTAGGAATTCCATGTCTATTTGCTGTCTACATGCTTAAGGCTGAATCGGTGTCATATAATATGTTAATTAAAATTATAAAAATAACATCATAATAAGAGTGTTTTCCTGTTTTACATATTTCTAGAGGTTTAAGAAATGAAAACATAACTCCTTAATGCAATTTACCTAAGAAAATTCGTGAAAATATGCACAAGGGGATATACTACATGTACACATTCCTATTTTTTCTTTATTGCATTTTAATCTAAAAAGTTATTTTCTGTCTATACGGAAAGTGTTTTGGGATATTTCACTTTAATTATTAGTAACTCTAATAAGTACATGTAAGAAAATATTCGATACTGGTCAAACCAATAGAATTTTGACCATACAGACAATATTTTAAATCTTTTATGTACCACTTACTTGAGAAAAATGGTCCCCTGCTATCAAGAAACTTAAAAGCTGGTGGAGGGAAGACATAAAGTGTATGATACATAACATCATCCACATAAAGATATATTATAAAGATAATAAGAGTTCTATGATACTGAGTTATGGGGAAATGAGATGCTTTAAATAAAGATGATCAAGGGACATCTCCCTAAGGAGTGAATATTTGAGTTGAGATTTGAATGACCTGAAGGGGACAGCCGTGCTAAAGTCTGAGGAGAGCATTCCAAGTAGAGGGAAAGATAGTACAGTTGCCTTGAAACAGAAATTGTTTGTCATATTCTAGGAACAATAACAAAAAGGGGGCCACTGTGGTTAGAACAGGGTGAACAAGGGGTACAGTACAAGACGACATGGAAAAAAGCATTGACAGGAAAAAAAAAAAGAGAGAGAGAGAGAACTCATAGAGCCATTGTAGGCCAGAGTTAGTGTTTTCAATTTTGTTCCATGTGTAAAAAAAAAAGTTGGTGAGGAGTGATATGTTTTGATTTTTGTTTATAAAAGATTACTCTGTTTATTCTGTGGATAAGAGTAGAAAGAGGAAACATGGTAAGAAAGATACCTTGTTTAGAGGGTGTTGTAGAAGTTCAGGTAACAGACAACATCTCCTTGAATGAGAATGGTAGTGGTGGAGATGGAGAGAAGTTCAGGTAACACACAACATCTCCTTGAATGAGAATGGTAGTGGTGGAGATGGAGAGAAGTTCAGGTAACAGACAACATCTCCTTGAATGAGAATGGTAGTGGTGGAGATGGAGAGAAGTTCAGGTAACACACAATATCTCCTTGAATGAGAATGGTAGTGGTGGAGATGGAGAGAAGTTCAGGTAACACACAACATCTCCTTGAATGAGAATGGTAGTGGTGGAGATGGAGAGAAGTTCAGGTAACAGACAACATCTCCTTGAATGAGAATGGTAGTGGTGGAGATGGAGAGGAGTGGATACATTGAGCTTTAATTTGGAAATAAAGATAAAAGAACTTGCTTATGGATTGGATATGTCTGTCAGTCAAGGTGACACAAATAGAAGATTCAAGAATGACTCCTAGTTTCTCTGAATGACTGAATAATGTTGTTGCCATTTACTGCAGCTGGGAAAGTGGGTAGGGAATATGTTTTAGTAGAACGTGAGGTGGGGGGGATAGACTAAAAGTTTTCTTTGGAAATAACTCCCACAGCAGACATTATGATGGGGATCTGGGAAAGGAACAAGAAAATTAAAAAAAAAGGAAGACAGCATATGGTATCTAAAGAGGATTTATAAAACATTTTAAAACATGCTAAGAACTCCAAAAATGATTGGAGGTTTCTTTTGTATGTGAAGAGCTGTGGTCTCATAATAGTGGGTAATAGACCTCTCTTTCCCCAATTCTGTTCTGTGTGTGTTTGTGTATATATATATATACTATATATATATATAGTGTGTATATATATATATATATACTATATATATAGTATGTATATATATACTATATATATAGTGTGTATATATATATACTATATATATAGTGTGTATATATATACTATATATATATAGTGTGTATATATATACTATATATATATAGTGTGTATATATATATACTATATATATATAGTGTGTGTGTGTATACATATATATATATAGTTTTTGAGACAAGGTCTCACTGTCACCCAGGCTGGAGTGCAGTGGCACAATCATGGCTCACTGCAGCCTCAACCTCCCTGGGTTCAGGTGATTCGCCCACCTCAGCCTCCCAAGTAGCTGGGACTATAGGCATGTGTTGCCACACCTGCCTAATTTTTTGCTTTTTTGTGTGTGTATGTGTGTGTATAGAGATGGGATTTTACCATGTTGTCCAGGCTGGCCTCGAACTCCTGAGCCCAGGTGATTCTCCTGCCTCGACCTCCCAAAGTCCTGGGATTACAGGTATGAGCTACCACACCCAGCAGAATTAATATTTGAAATAGTAGTAGCAGACAAATTAAGTAACGAAGTCAAAACATTTTACACAGGTATATACTTGGAGACAATAAAAAGTAGGACAGGTTTAACAAATATAGACAATATGCATTCTGTGTCCTTTACAGACATAACTAATCAAAAAAGTACCTTTTTGAAGTCATTATATGAAAAAGATACTTGCACACATGTGTTTATAGCAGCACAATTCACAATCGCTCAGATGTGGAACTAACCTAAGTGCCCATCAAGTAATGAGTGGCTAAAGAAAATGTGGTGTGTGTATACTGTGGAATACTACTTATCCTTTAAAAGGAACAAAATAATGTATTTTTGCAGTAACTTGGATGGAGCTAAAGGCCATTATTTTAAGTGAAGTAGCACAGGAGTGTAAAACCAAAAGCTGCATTTTCTCACTTGTAAGTGGGAGTTAAGCTATGAGTATGCAGAGGCATAGAGAATGATATACTAGACTTTAGAGACTTGGGGGGAGGGTGGGAGGGAGACTCTGGATAAAAAAACTACACATTATATACAATGTATACTACTCAGGTGACAGGTGCGCTAAGATCTCAGAATTCCCCACCATAGAATTCACTTATAACAACAATCTACTTGTACCCCAAAAGCTATTGAAATAAGAATTTTAAAAATAAAAAATACTTTTTTTTTCTTCTAAGTTTGAACACATCATCAGATATTTTGAACTGAACATTGCAGAGAAGCAGTTTAAAATCACTGGGGGACTTTGGAGTAAGTAGTTGTAGTGGAACTGTGGGAATAAATCTAATTGAAGTCAGTAGTTTTGAATAAAATGGAGACAGCAAATATAGACAATGTTTTCAAGAAGTTTGGCTATCAAGGCTGGGAGAAATAGAGACATATACTGGAGGATGACTTGTGTTGTCTTTTTCTAATTTGGTTTTAAGGCCTCTGTCTGCAAAGGGAGTATAAATTCTAGCCCTTCCCTGACGGGACTCCAGAGGATTTGGGCGTAGATGCTTACGCTGTGACTTCCATGGAATAATTCTTTATCCTGGTGTATTGTCTAATGCTTAAGTGTCCAACGTGTTTCCCTCTTGCAGGCAACCTGTTTACACTGGCAGATGCTCTCGTGCCCCTTGTCTGACACATGACCAGGCTAATCCTGCCAAGATAGGCGCTCTCTTTGCCGGGGAGGAAAGTTAGGTCTAGGTGTGTCAGTTGGGTAAGTCACAAAAAAGACAACACAACAAAAACACAGGAAATAACAGGAGCACTTCATTCCTCATAGATCCAAAACAGGAGGTACCGATGAGGGCTGATGTGAAGGTTGCAGGGGCTATGTGCTTAACCCACAGGTGGGCAGCCAGAGAAAGGGATGGTCCTGTGGCCTCAGGCTTTGATTGGGGTCCAGGATGTTAGTTACCCAAGCAGGTTTCCCATAGGGAATTCTAATTGATGGGGTTAGAGGAAGCAGGTGTGACTTCTGTGGGGTCACTCTGTGACTGAGAGGTGGTCATTGGAGCATATCTCTACCATACCTGCAACATCCATGCAGGATGAGGGGGTCACTGGGGTGAGTCAAGTAGGTTGTATTTATATGTCCCAAAGAGAGCTCGTCATCAGAATGCAGTTTTATAAGGCAGATACCTGGAGAGACCACATTGAGAAACTGGGAGGAGATGGAGAACCGGAAACGGGGGCAAAGGGGACTAAGCCTTGCTTCTGATATTGGAAAGTTAAACTTACATTCAAAAAGAACGGTGAGGCAACATAAAATTTTAAGAATAACTACAACATTAGATCAATTACAATTTATTAGATAGGAAATTCGAACATACAAGTTTTCAGAAATGAGTCATTAAAACATGTGACAATTATTGAACGTTCACTCGGTGATAAGCACTGTCCTTTGTAGTTTATATATATGTGCTGCTTAGTTCAACTCATAATAAGGGCATGAGCATCTTACTTCAGATGAGAAAAATGAGGAAGTTGGAACAGGACAAGAGGGTTATAGAATTTGTCCAGAATCTTTCAGCTAGTAAATAGCTGAATGTGTACAAGTTTACGAGTCCATCCTCTAAATCCTTGCACTGTCATATGGCTTCTTACTAAGCATTGAGCTAAAGGGTGGAAATAGTGGAAAGAGAAAAGAGCATGTATAACATGCAGTTGCTGGGGACCTAGGTGAATTCTGAATGGTCTCTGATCATGAGAGCTTTAGTACATGGCAGAAAAAGTAGTTTCCACTGCAAAAGATACGGGGGTAAGATAATCCTTGGAGGAAAGCCAGGTATCAGTTATTATGGGAATAAGAGGCAGCAACTGGTAAAATGGAACAGGATCTAGAGAATTTTACTGCTAACAGAGAAGAAACAGAGGGCACAGGGGTTAGGAGAGAGATGATAATCATCAGTTGGGTACAAGGAAAGGAATTACAGATAATTATACTAATAAAAATGTGCAAGAGGAAAGATAACCAATGTAATGTTCTTGGACCTGTGTGTTAGAACATGTGGCTTTGAGGCATGGTTAGACTAATGAGTGGTAAGTTGGTGGGGACTTACTTCTTAAGATACCAGCCATAAGACTAGGAGGTGGTACAGAGAAGGAGGTTTCAGGGTGGTGTAAATAATGCCCAAAATGTCTCCCAGAAGCTAGTTGTTGAAGAATTTCTTCATCCTGTATTTCTTTTGATTCTGATTCTCTGTTTTCTTTATGCTACCTGTGTCTTCATAGTGACCATAATTTATTGAGCCCATAGTAGGTATCAACACTATACTAGGCACTGTATATCTTATTGAATCCTATATATTATTTCTTGAAATAATGATTCCCTGTATATTATGAGGTATATTAATTTTCTTTTTCAGGAAGTGTCCTTTTCCTTTTTTATTGCAATAAAAATACAAGTTATTCCATAACTTTTACCATGCTGTATTATTTTGTTTCATATTAATATAATATAAGTGGTCATGATTTAAAGAGCTACTGTTACTCCCTCCTTCTTGACAAGTACTTTCCTTTTTCATTTGAATTAGAAATCTCTAGCTTTATTGAAAGTCAACAGAGTTAAATGCAAAGAAAGCTGTCATTCACTGGCTTCTTTGATTTTTACTGTTTGGCAGACATTGTGGTAGGATCTATAAATACAGCAGTGAAGAAAATCAAGTCACTGCCCTCATGAGATTTACATTCTGCACACTATTAAATATTTCAGTAGAAAGCATCTCATCCACTCAAATCTTGGTGGCAAAGACTTTGATGAAACATGCAAAAGTGTCCTATTTTATACATAATTATTTTCAGAATACTCTGTTCTGATATTTTGTTTTTAATTACTTTCCCATAGTATATTAATATTGATTCAAGGACCTTAACTCAGTTTGCTCAGAAAGGTAAAACAATCATATGAATATAGCTCTGGTAAACAGATGATTTCATAAACCTTCTTTGAGATGATAGAATTACCTATAATTTTACATAAAAGTCGTTAAAGAAGCATTTGAATTTCCCTTTTTCTTGAGTGTATGAGCTCAAAGTCAGGTAAACACCACACTTAGGTTTGAACCCCACTAAGTCTGTACATATTAATAAATGTCAGTAATTTTCATTTAACTGAATTGTACTGAAGGTCAAAAATATACTTCTTCTGACTAATGGTTAATGAAAGGCTTAGAGAGTAAAAAGTATGTGTAAGGCAATGTTTATAAGGCATGAGGTTAACAATAAGTTTATATTTTCCTCAAATGTAAAGACAGGAAAACTTCAAGATTAATTTCCTAGGAAAAGGTATAACAAAAGTATATCCCTATTTGAACCAAAATATAATAGCTAAAGTAGCCTAAACACTGCCCATTTTTGGGTGCTATTGTAAGTGGCCTTATTTTTCACATTTTCAACTGTTCGTTGCCAGCACGGAAGAATGCAAGTGATTTTTCTGTACTTTCTATTCTGCAAACATGATAAAGTCACTTGCTAGTTCTAGTAACTTTTTGGTACATGCCCTAGGTTTTCCACGTGGACTATTCATGCCATCTCCAAATACAGCTTTACTTCCTCCTCAATCATTTATGTACCTTTATTAATAAATTTATTTATTTTGAATTATTACTCTAGCTAAGACCTACAGTATAATATTAAATGTAATCAACCAGTCTGGCCAACATGGTGAAAACCCATCTCTATTGAAAATACAAAAAATTAGCTGGGCATGGTGGCATGCACCTGTAATCCCAGCTACTCAGGAGGTTGAGGCAGGAGAATTCTTGAACCCGGGAGGTGGAGGTTGCAGTGAGCCAAGATCGTGACACTGGACTCCAGCCTGGGTGACAGAGTGAGACTCCATTTCAAAAAAATAATAATAAATACATAAAAAATAAATGTAATCAATGAGTGCAGATGTCCTTATTTTCTCTCAAATACTAAGGAAGAGAACATTTTTTTCTTCCACAAAGTAGGATATTTGCATTGTTTTGTTGTTAGTTTTGTTTTTTGTTGTTCTCCTTTATCAGGAAGAAGTTACCTCTTATAGTTTACTGAGGAATTTATTCATAGGGGCTGATTTTTTCAAATACTTTTCGGTATCATTCAAGATGATTATCTGGCTTTTGTCATTTTTTTAATGAGGTAAATTGCATCAGTATTTGGATGTTATACCTGCCCTACATTCCTGGAACAAACCTCGTTGGACTATAATGCATTACCCTTTTATATATTGCTTGATTGGTTTGCTATAAATTGTTTTTAAAAAGATGTGTGCTGATATTTATGGAAAATATCAATATGTGGTTCACTTTTCTTTTGAGTCAGTTGTCTGGTTTCAGAAACAAGATAATAGCAGCTTCAAAAATGAGTTGAAAATGTTATTTCTCTTTATTGTCTGTAAGAGATTGAGTAGATTTGATATTGTTTCTTTAATGTATGGTAGAATATGCTAGTGGAGCTATATGGGTCCTGTAGGACATATATATTATATTAATAGAATTGTTTCAGGGAATATAAGTAGTGTGTGTGTGTGTGTGTGTGTGTGTGTGTGTGTGTGTGTGTGTTGCAAAGAATTGACTTATGCAGTTGTTGGAGATAACTAGACGAGTCTGAAATTCATAGGCCAAGTCATCAGGAAGGGCATGCTGTAACCCTTGGACCCAAGCTGAAGCTAATATCCATAGGTAGAATTTCTTCTTCTTCATGCAATCATCGGCTCTGCTCTTAAAAAATTCTATTGATGAATCTAGTCCATCCAGATTACTTAGGATAATCTCCCTTACTAAATTCAACTCTTACAAACTTTAGTCACATCTACAATATTTTCAAAACAATGCCTAGATTAGCATATGAATATCTGGAAACTGTAACCTAGCCAAGTTTATACATCAAAAAGACCATCATAGGCAAAAAGTTTGTTTTGTTGGAAGGTTACCTTTTTCCCCAAAGACTCTATATCTTTATTAAAAAAGAACTATTCAGATTATCTTTTTTTCCTGATCTTTGGTTTTTATTTCAAAGAATTTGTATATTTTATGCAAGATGTCAAATTTAACAGCATATTCATAAAATCATTGTATTATCTTTTTAAGTAAAAATATATGTGTATGCTAACCCATGTACGTGTGTATGCTAACCCATGTACGTACAGGTGTCTATATGTTGTTTACAATAGATCTTTTTCTTATGAAGTTTAAAATCAATTTGGTGATACATGCAAGATAGTTTCTATATGTGATTATCTCTTTCCATGTTAAGCCAAACACAAGTTCATAGTGATATCTCCAACTCTGGAAATATGGAGAATGGACACCAACACTGAGATGAATCCTATGTTACCTGAGGGTTAATGGCTACTATGTATAATTTTACATGATGTTATGTCTGCTATTATATATCTGGTATTACTGTATTTTTAAAAAATTTAACATTACTTTGTGCTAGACAATCCTTATTACTTGAATCTCCATGTTCAGTTAATAATTCATTGTATCAGATATTTCCTATTCAAATGACTGTGTTGTTTCTCTCCTCTGGTTGGATCCTGCATATTATGGAAATGGAGAATAGTTGTGTTTTGGGGGCTTCTCTGAGCCCTTAGGTTCAGCACCCTCTTATGTATACCATGCTGTGGTCATGATTCCTTTGAAGTTAATCGAAAGAGGAGACAGGGGAAGAGAAGAAGAAATAGCACTTGGGTTGGTGGTTGACAGATAGAGACATTTGTTTTATTATTGGGTATTTGGATTTAATTGGGGTGATTGATGTGGTAGTTGAAGGAAGAACTTTGGCATGTTCTTGTATATCCTGCACGTCCCTCAACATTGACAGTGTTGGGATATTGATTGAAATGGCATGGTGAAAGGGGTTGGGGTTTGGGTTCTTAATATAGTAGAACAAACCTCTCAAGTCACCCATCACATCTACATATTGCAGGCTAGAAAAAGCTCTACCGGAAGACAGCTGAACAGAATTCTCTGCTTATTCCCAACTTGAATTTTCCTCATACTATTACATGGGCCTGACTTGGGCATCCTCTGGCCATGTACTTCATTTAAGAGAGCAAGAAAGTTTCTCTCTTCTATTCATTCCCATGTCCATGTTTGCAATGTTGGGTTATACAGGATTTACAAGAATTGCATGTTTGGCATGTTTGGGTTCTTCTTTCAATAGAAAGAGAAGGTAGTATATTTAAATGTTATGGTATAATGCAACTTTGATTCCTTTAATTAATATTGAGAAATTCAACTGAAGGATTTGAAATTTTTGAATAATTTTATTGGCTAGACAACGTTTACTTGACAATGTTTTAATTCTAAATTCTATGTTGAAGTTGTCAAAGCAACCTGCTAGACCGATGGAGTCTGGACATGGGAATGAATAGAAGAGAGAAACTTTCTTGCTCTCTTAAATGAAGCACATGGCCAGAGGATGCCCAAGTCAGGCCCATGTAATAGTATGCGGAATATTCAAGTTGGGAATAAGCAGAGAATTCTGTTCAGCTGTCTTCCGGTAGAGCTTTTTCTAGCCTGCAATATGTAGATGTGATGGATGAGTTGAGAGGTTTGTTCTACTTAATAACTGACTTCTGGGAAATGCAAACTAATTTTTCATGTGTCAGCTATATTAAGTTTAAACTTAATAGAATAATGTAGGCAGATACCGTAAGTACCAAAGGAAGAAGGAAGTTGAGGAAAGTTTATTCTCTTTAAGTCCTAAAATCTGTCTCATTACATACACAGCAGGTAGAAGGTACACACTCAGGAAATGGTGAAAGATAGAGGGAAGTGGGATGATTGTTTTCCATGTGGTTTGAGTATATCCTGCAGATCCCTCACACATTGGCAGTCTTGGGATATTGATTGAAACGGCATGGTGAAGGGTGTTGGGGTTTGGGTAGGACTGATATTTTAGCCATGCTGTATGCAGTACCTCATCTCAGCAAGTGCCATCTATGTGGCTAAAAACATAATATGCACCTCTTGGAGTGAGGTAATGTGCAACAGGTACAACATCAGTAGTGGCCCCGGGGGAAGAAGTATGGCAATCTCCTCACAGCTGCCCTTCCTTGAGTCAAGGTGCCAAACTTTTAGTGCTGACACACATCAGGGGACCCTAATAAGTGCCTTCTAAGGAATTAGGTATAGAGAATGAGGGCCCGTGGGAAAATGTTTATGTACATGTTCTTCAGGGATTTATATCACTTTTTGAAAAGGGGTCTGAGCAGGTGAGACTACAGCATGAGGTGTGGTTAACATGCCTCTCTCTGTCTTCCCACTGATTTTCCTCTGTTTAGCACCAAAATTTCCTCTTTTTAAGACTCACCTTGAATCATGTTTTAAGTCATCAAATTATTAAGAGTTAAGCATGGTTAAGCTAGATGATACTCTTACACAGTTTCAATTCGTATTTATTAATGTATTATTAGCATGTATTACCTATCACTTACTTTTTAGTTATTATGTCAATGATGCATGGGCAAGAAGAACCACAGTTCAGAACTTTGGGTAATGATAAAATATTATATTGCCTTTTTCCCCCCCCTCTTATTTACCTTTGGATTTTTATTCTTAACTTCGTACACTGAAGGACAGAGAGAAGATAGCCAACTGTTGAAGATTTTCTGAGGAACTGAAGCAGTGCTTGGGAAGCAAGCTGTAAGTTTTGCATTCTTTTGTGGGAACTAGGTAGAATCATATTGCTCCCACCAGGAAAGCCCCCTTTAACCAAATTATTGATTATGGAAAATTAGGCTTTCTGGTATTCCTTCATCTCAGACCATCACAGATTACATCCCTACTTCAATCCTTGGTGAAAATTTCAGTTGTGATCAAAACAAAGGAAGTTTCTATTTTATCTCCAAACATTACTTGTCATGAACAGTCTGTGTCTACTGCATAGGTTGTCTTCTCCCCTTCTTCATAAGTTCTAATGTTTGCACTGGACAAAAGGTCTCACTACTCCAGATATGCATAGCCAATAGCAGTGACATCATTAAAGATCGTTCTCAAATTTAATTGTATATTTAATTCTGAAAAGGTGGAGAGAGAGAGAGAGAGAGAGAGAGAGTGTGTGTGTGTGTGTGTGTGTGTGTGTGTGTGTAATTATTCTGGAATATGTTGAGATTCTGATTTGAGGCCAATGTGGCCTTAGATGGTTTTCAGGAGACTTTGTCTCATGAAAGATATGTGGAGAAAGCTGACACACATGATATACTCATTCCAAGCATGGCTACAGTACAGCTTCTAAGTAGAATTATGTGCCAGGCAATGATAAAAATTTACTGCTGCACATTGCTTTTCGATTTGATCATGGACCAGGATATCTTAGAAATCATCTCAGTTTGATTGGAAGTAGGTTCTGGAGGCAATAACCCATTTTAAAGGACCCATTGAGCAAAGGATCCAATTTTAATTATTTAAAAATATTTTAGAGACTTAGCTATCGAGTGGCCTCTGTGATTCATTTAGGGGCAGCAGAGGGAGCATTTGAGAGGAAGAGTAAGTGAGCACATAGGGAAGGATTAGGGAATGGATTTCTTATGAGTGCAAGGGCAATGGGGATGTGTGTTTAGGGAAATGCTATTTAATTCTACATTTACCATATCATAAAGACATTAAACAACAAGTGAGGGGTATAACAGACATAGTCTGGTTCTTGTGGATACCATTTCAGAAAAGTCAAAGATGAGAGCTAGCTAGGGTCAACAGTGGGTTTGAGAGGTACAGGTAGGCACCCTTTGACTCCACAAAGACAAGGAGAATAGTTAGTCCAGGGACTTAGAAACCCGTCAATGTATTACTTTAGTCTTTCATCCTATGTCTTTAAAAGACCCCAAGCAACCAAGTCTATGATACAGTTGAGTTTAGTTCTTAACTGCCCACTTCAAGTAACCTTCTGAGTTCATACTTTCCTTCCTAAAGGCAAACATGAGGAGATACAACTGTCTTTTTCTTTGTTCTCCAGGTAGGAGATTTCTCTCTGCCCCATTACACTTCCATACAATTGGCTGCAGGATACAGCTGAAGCAGAAATGAGTACCAGTCAGAAGACTGTCAGATTAAAAAAAAAAAAGTATGAAGATTTTGCCCATAGCAAACTTCTTATAGATTAGATACTTGGGTCACAGATGGCTCAGGCATACTTACTGAATTTGTGAAAGTTCTAACAGTTTTATGAGATGAGAACTTTACTTGTTTTTTTTAGCCTATTGAAAGAAAAAATGACTTAGGGAAGTCTGGTTTAAACATTTCAACCTTGAGCCTTTCTTTCTCTCTCCATGGCAAGTAACATAGCCAAGACGTGTGTTTCCAAATCCTTTTTATTCTCTCTCTGCAGAATTTTGCATAATCCTGTTCCTATTCTGCTTGACTATGACTGATTTGTAACCTCTATCTCCTTCACACACTCTCTTTCATCTTCTATCAGATTCAGCTGGTCACAGAAAAGTTAAACTGTTGATGGCCAGTGTCGCAGAATGGAAAAACATATTGTCAACAGCTAGACTTCTGATCAAGGGCTGAGAGGAGAAAAAGAAGACAACTCTTGGATTTAAGCTCATCTCTCTCTCTCTCTCTCGGAATTGAACAGTCATAAATTTAAAAGTTAATTTCCTTTCAATAGATACAGGAAATGGGGTTTATGCCCACTCAGTATTTGCACCCTTTGACTAATCTTTTCTTATTAAATGTCTTAGTGTGTTTTGACTACTTTCATGTAGATTTGAAATGAATGAATTTTGGAGTACTGAGTATGGGATTATGTTGGAAATATTTTGTTGTTGCTGTTTTGTTTTCTTTTGGTTGGGTTTGGTTTACTTTGTGGTAAAGCAAATATTTTCAATGCTTCCTTCCTAATAATTTGTAAAACAACAAGTTAGAGAGGAAGAATATATTTATTACATGAGGAAGAAAAAACAGAAAGAGGTTTATTCTTTCTTGGGCATGAAAATTGTATAAGAATTCAAAGAGCAAGCGAGGGGACTTTTACTCAGGGACAAGTGAAAGTGGGAGGGCAATAGAGTGGGCAATGCCATGTCTTATGAAAAAATGATGAATGTCATGCCATGGATTGGGGGGATTGGGTAGGAACAAGAAGTAGGTTGGATTGGCCAGAGAAGCAACCTTGGTTATGCTGTGTGGAGTATCCTAACTTAGGAAAGTACCATTCATATATACTGAGTTACAAACTGTACTTTTCTGAGTATAGTAATGCTCAACAAGTACAACTTTTGTAGTGATTGAAGTCCTTAAGGAAAATTTGTCCCAAATAATGCCTTTAGTGGTCTATAACACTTTAGTCTAAGAAGGTGTGGCCAAAGAGTCGCAGACTTGCACTGGAGATACGGCCTTTCTTAAATTTGGCAAAGTGAAACTCCAATTTAGACAATATTGAGACTCTGTCAAGTTAGCACTTTCTATACTCAGCAAGTTGAATCCCATGTGCTTCACAGGAGCATCAGAGTTCCCTGGTGGACTCTGTTGGGATTTCAACATGATTTTAGACAGGTCGTCTGAAAACTCCAGATTATACATGAAACTAACAGCTGAGAGTAGATGAAATATCCACTGATTTGTTCAGCAGAAAACCATCAAGCACATCATACTGTATATCACTGCTGCAAATACAGTAGTGTAACGGGAGAGGCAAAACTTTCTGTCTTCAAAAAGCTGATATGCTATTGGTACAAATATACAAGAAGTAATAACTGAATAGAATGTTAACTATGTGTTATAGCTTTAAGTACTATAGAGAAACAATGAAACGAATTGAGGTTTGGGCAGTATGGCAGAGAGGAAGAGGTGTGCAATTTCAAATGAGCTGGTCAGAGAAGACTACTCTAGGAAAGCACTATGGAGCAAAGTTTTGTATTAAGTTAAGGAGTTGAACCAATCTCTAATCTCTCAATGCTTCTAAGACATTCCTTATTCCCTGGCAATGAAGGGGAATCTCAGTTTTTCCTATCTATCTTTCTTGATGTCCATACCCATCTGCAGCCCACTACAGTTGCATCCTGTTCCAAGGGATTTTATGTCACAAATTCAGGGGACTGTTGAGGCACTTTGGTTTTAGAGGTGAAAAGGAAAGAACAACATACAGACAAAGACTCTGTCAAGCTGTGTAGCATAATCCCAAGGCAGTGGAATATGAGGTGAAGAGAATAAGAAGACAGTGGGTGTTGCCATGATGTTTTAGGTGGAGGGGGTTTTCTCTCCCTGGGAAGTTTCCAAAAAATGCCAGTAAGAAATTGAAGATATTTTAATGTATTCTTTTGCCAGCACTGAATATCCTTGACCACGAGGAAAACGGATCAGAGACTGAAACATGAGTTTCTTGTCTTAAAAAGTTGCAGCTGCCTGTTAAACTGATTGTGGCTGTGCACAGGTATGTCTGAAAGAATGAATCTAAATTCTTATCCTCTATCAGCCTAAAGCCAGCACATGGCTATGATGACTGATGTATGTGCTTCTGCATGTTTACTGGATGGAATAGAGAATGGCCCAGCACAAGACAACATGGTGGTAAGAGAAGAGAGAAGGGTGAATTGGACAGGCAGATTACAGTCAAGCTCTCCGATAACAAAACTTATCAGTGTCCACAGGAGATTGGGGCTTCCTCTACTATAACCTATTTTCTCTCCCTTGAGAAATGGAGGGGAAGGTGGTGTTTCTTCACTTTTGGCAAGCTTCACAGAGAAAATAGAGGCGAAAAGTGGCCAGTGGGCCTTAAGGCATTCAGTTAAGATGAGGAATGTGGGGGTTAATAATGCTGAGAAGAGATGACATCTTCTTAGAAATACTAGTACTTTTTGGAAAGATGCTGGGCTTCCTGAAGCTATAAATATAGGCTTCGTATTTTTCATATTAAAGAAGGAAGATTTCAAGATGTTCAGGCATTGAGATGATTTCCTTTAGTATTCATTGTTGTTTCAATAAAAATTTATAAACTAGGGATGATGTTTCTCAAACTTTCCCACTTCCATATTTAAAAATACTTTCAGCCTGTAGCTGCTAAGTTCTAAAACAAACTCCAATTTAAGGCTGTGAATCTTTTTACTTGAATTTCCTTCTAACCCCTTAATGCCAATTACATATATACGTGTAATTAACATGTAAATACATATGCATATACATAATATAGATGCAATTACATATATATGTAATTAACATGCATATACATAATACAGCTGCTTTTTAGTGCACACTTGTGTGAGTTTAGATGAATATGAAATTTGTATAACAATAAAAATTCAATTTTTAAGAAGCCTACAAGATGTGCTGGAGTTAAAACTTCTTTCAGTCCCTGGACTCTAGAAATATTTGTTCTTCTGTAATTTGTTGTACCAGGTTCAGTAGTCCTAGGGAAATGCAGACACCAAATAGCATGTGTGTTGGATAACAAAATGCAAAAACATGCTCTAAACAACCTTGCTCCAGGAATAGACTAAGAAAATTTCTAAGTTGCGAGTTATATGAGGGCATCTCTAGACCACAAGCTCATATCTGTCTTATAGATCACTTCCAGTAAGTAAAATGGGCTTCTTTTTACTCCAGAGTCTAAGAAAGAAAATAAATTTCTATTATCTCCACCACAGCAATCACAGATTATTTTCCTTCTTTTTGCTTTCAGGATCTTGTGTGTTTTCACCACTTACTTTGTGGTTCCAGAGTAGAGGTAAGTAAACTTAGGTAAAGGGCCTCAGATCTTTTAAGACTGGAGTTAAGCATTTTCTGCTTAACTGTTGGATCTGAGGACTGCATACTGCTGATTCATTGTGAGAAAAGCATGCAAGAATATTTCTTTCATGAGCAAGAGAACCTAGACAAAAAGTTCTGAAAACTGCCATGTAAAACCCATGACACATGAGGGGATAGCACTCAAGAGGGATGAATGAAGAAAGACAAGCGGAGTGGGTATTGCATAGGTTATTTGGACAACTGTCAGCGTCTACTCACATCCTGAAAGCATTGAGAAGTTGTTTCAAAAGTGCACAAATGGGTGCTTAGGGAGGGCTTCCATCCTTAAACATGTTGTCTGTGGTACCCTACTCTGGAGAGTGACAATCATGTATAACTAAATTTGATTGACACTTCTGTGAGTAGAGTAACGCATGACACTTACGACAGACAATGGCACTGTGGGTGCATTGAGGGTGTTTTATTGTACACAGAGGGAAGCTTTCTCTAAAGTGCAGGTATAACACCTCTTCAAACCCCTAGTGCTGGCCTCCCTCAAGGGAAGCCTCTTAAGTGCCTTTCAGAGGCCACTGATTTGTTCAACAGAAAATCATCAAGCACATCATACTGTATATCAGTGCTGCAAATACAGTAGTGTAACGGGAGAGGCAAAACTTTCTGTCTTCAAAAAGCTGATATGCTATTGGTACAAATATACAAGAAGTAATAACTGAATAGAATGTTAACTATGTGTTATAGCTTTAAGTACTATAGAGAAACAATAAAACGAATTGAGGTTTGGGCAGTACGGCAGAGAGGAAGAGGTGTGCAATTTCAAATGAGGTGGTCAGAGAAGACTACTCTAGGAAAGCACTATGGAGCAAAGTTTTGTATTAAGTTAAGGAGTCGAACCAATCTCTAATCTCTCAATGCTTCTAAGACAGTCCTTCTTCCCTGGCAGTGAAAGGGAATCTCAGTTTTTCCTGTCTATCTTTTTTGATGTCCATACCCATCTGCAGCCCACTACAGTTGCATCCTGTTCCAAGGGATTTTATGTCACAAATTCAGGGGACTGTTGAGGCACTTTGGTTTTAGAGGTGAAAAGGAAAGAACAACATACAGACAAAGACTCTGTCAAGCTGTGTAGCATAATCCCAAGGCAGTGGAATATGAGGTGAAGAGAATAAGAAGACAGTGGGTGTTGCCATGATGTTTTAGGTGGAGGGGGTTTTCTCTCCCTGGGAAGTTTCCAAAAAATGCCAGTAAGAAATTGAAGATATTTTAATGTATTCTTTTGCCAGCACTGAATATCCTTGACCACGAGGAAAACGGATCAGAGACTGAAACATGAGTTTCTTGTCTTAAAAAGTTGCAGCTGCCTGTTAAACTGATTGTGGCTGTGCACAGGTATGTCTGAAAGAATGAATCTAAATTCTTATCCTCTATCAGCCTAAAGCCAGCACATGGCTATGATGACTGATGTATGTGCTTCTGCATGTTTACTGGATGGAATAGAGAATGGCCCAGCACAAGACAACATGGTGGTAAGAGAAGAGAGAAGGGTGAATTGGACAGGCAGATTACAGTCAAGCTCTCCGATAACAAAACTTATCAGTGTCCACAGGAGATTGGGGCTTCCTCTACTATAACCTATTTTCTCTCCCTTGAGAAATGGAGGGGAAGGTGGTGTTTCTTCACTTTTGGCAAGCTTCACAGAGAAAATAGAGGCGAAAAGTGGCCAGTGGGCCTTAAGGCATTCAGTTAAGATGAGGAATGTGGGGGTTAATAATGCTGAGAAGAGTTGACATCTTCTTAGAAATACTAGTACTTTTTGGAAAGATGCTGGGCTTCCTGAAGCTATAAATATAGGCTTCGTATTTTTCAAATAAAAGAAGGAAGATTTCAAGATGTTCAGGCATTGAGATGATTTCCTTTAGTATTCATTGTTGTTTCAATAAAAACTTATAAACTAGGGATGATGTTTCTCAAACTTTCCCACTTCCATATTTAAAAATACTTTCAGCCTGTAGCTGCTAAGTTCTAAAACAAACTCCAATTTAAGGCTGTGAATCTTTTTACTTGACTTTCCTTCTAACCCCTTAATGCCAATTACATATATACGTGTAAGTAACATGTAAATACATATGCATATACATAATATAGATGCAATTACATATATATGTAATTAACATGCATATACATAATACAGCTGCTTTTTAGTGCACACTTGTGTGAGTTTAGATGAATGTGAAATTTGTATAACAATAAAAATTCAATTTTTAAGAAGCCTACAAGATGTGCTGGAGTTAAAACTTCTTTCAGTCCCTGGACTCTAGAAATATTTGTTCTTCTGTAATTTGTTGTACCAGGTTCAGTAGTCCTAGGGAAATGCAGACACCAAATAGCATGTGTGTTGGATAACAAAATGCAAAAACATGCTCTAAACAACCTTGCTCCAGGAATAGACTAAGAAAATTTCTAAGTTGCGAGTTATATGAGGGCATCTCTAGACCACAAGCTCATATCTGTCTTATAGATCACTTCCAGTAAGTAAAATGGGCTTCTTTTTACTCCAGAGTCTAAGAAAGAAAATAAATTTCTATTATCTCCACCACAGCAATCACAGATTATTTTCCTTCTTTTTGCTTTCAGGATCTTGTGTGTTTTCACCACTTACTTTGTGGTTCCAGAGTAGAGGTAAGTAACTTAGGTAAAGGGCCTCAGATCTTTTAAGACTGGAGTTAAGCATTTTCTGCTTAACTGTTGGATCTGAGGACTGCATACTGCTGATTCATTGCAAGAAAAGCATGCAAGAATATTTCTTTCATGAGCAAGAGAACCTAGACAAAAAGTTCTGAAAACTGCCATGTAAAACCCATGACACATGAGGGGATAGCACTCAAGAGGGATGAATGAAGAAAGACAAGCGGAGTGGGTATTGCATAGGTTATTTGGACAACTGTCAGCGTCTACTCACAGCCTGAAAGCATTGAGAAGTTGTTTCAAAAGTGCACAAATGGGTGCTTAGGGAGGGCTTCCATCCTTAAACATGTTGTCTGTGGTACCCTACTCTGGAGAGTGACAATCATGTATAACTAAATTTGATTGACACTTCTGTGAGTAGAGTAACGCATGACACTTACGACAGACAATGGCACTGTGGGTGCATTGAGGGTGTTTTATTGTACACAGAGGGAAGCTTTCTCTAAAGTGCAGGTATAACACCTCTTCAAACCCCTAGTGCTGGCCTCCCTCAAGGGAAGCCTCTTAAGTGCCTTTCAGAGGCCACTGATTTGTTCAACAGGAAATCATCAAGCACATCATACTGTATATCAGTGCTGCAAATACAGTAGTGTAAAGGGAGAGGCAAAACTTTCTGTCTTCAAAAAGCTGATATGCTATTGGTACAAATATACAAGAAGTAATAACTGAATAGAATGTTAACTATGTGTTATAGCTTTAAGTACTATAGAGAAACAATAAAACGAATTGAGGTTTGGGCAGTATGGCAGAGAGGAAGAGGTGTGCAATTTCAAATGAGGTGGTCAGAGAAGACTACTCTAGGAAAGCACTATGGAGCAAAGTTTTGTATTAAGTTAAGGAGTCGAACCAATCTCTAATCTCTCAATGCTTCTAAGACAGTCCTTCTTCCCTGGCAGTGAAAGGGAATCTCAGTTTTTCCTGTCTATCTTTTTTGATGTCCATACCCATCTGCAGCCCACTACAGTTGCATCCTGTTCCAAGGGATTTTATGTCACAAATTCAGGGGACTGTTGAGGCACTTTGGTTTTAGAGGTGAAAAGGAAAGAACAACATACAGACAAAGACTCTGTCAAGCTGTGTAGTATAATCCCAAGGCAGTGGAATATGAGGTGAAGAGAAAAAGAAGACAGTGACTGTTGCCATGATGTTTTAGGTGGAGGGGGTTTTCTCTCCCTGGGAGGTTTCCAAAAAGTGCCAGTAAGAAATTGAAGATATTTTAATGTATTCTTTTGCCAGCACTGAATATCCTTGACCACAAGGAAAACGGATCAGAGACTGGAACATGAGTTTCTTGTCTTAAAATGTTGCAGCTGCCTGTTAAACTGATTGTGACTGTGCACAGGTATGTCTGAAAGAATGAATCTAAATTCTTATCCTCTATCAGCCTAAAGCCAGCACATGGCTATGATGACTGATGTATGTGCTTCTGCATGTTTACTGGATGGAATAGAGAATGGCCCAGCACAAGACAACATGGTGGCAAGAGAAGAGAGAAGGGTGAATTGGACAGGCAGATTACAGTCAAGCTCTCTGATAACAAAACTTGTCAGTGTCCACAGGAGATTGGGGCTTCCTCTACTATAACCTTTTTTCTCTCCCTTGAGAAATGGAGGGGAAGGTGGTGTTTCTTTCTTTTTGGTAAGCTTCACAGAGAAAATAGAGGCAAAAAGTGGCCAGTGGGCCTTAAGGCATTCAGCTAAGATGAGGAATATGGGGGTTAATAATGCTGAGAAGAGTTGACATCTTCTTAGAAATACTAGTACTTTTTGGAAAGATGCTGGGCTTCCTGCAGCTATAAATATAGGCTTCGTATTTTTCATATTAAAGAAGGAAGATTTCAAGATGTTCAGGCATTGAGATGATTTCCTTTAGTATTCATTGTTGTTTCAATAAAAACTTATAAACTAGGGTTGATGTTTCTCAAACTTTCCCACTTCCATATTTAAAAATACTTTCAGCCTGTAGCTGCTAAGTTCTAAAAGAAACTCCAATTTAAGGCTGTGAATCTTTTTACTTGAATTTCCTTCTAACCCCTTAATGCCAATTACATATATACGTGTAATTAACATGTAAATACATATGCATATACATAATATAGATGCAATTACATATATATGTAATTAACATGCATATACATAATACAGCTGCTTTTTAGTGCACACTTGTGTGAGTTTAGATGAATATGAAATTTGTATAACAATAAAAATTCAATTTTTAAGAAGCCTACAAGATGTGCTGGAGTTAAAACTTCTTTCAGTCCCTGGACTCTAGAAATATTTGTTCTTCTGTAATTTGTTGTACCAGGTTCAGTAGTCCTAGGGAAATGCAGACACCAAATAGCATGTGTGTTGGATAACAAAATGCAAAAACATGCTCTAAACAACCTTGCTCCAGGAATAGACTAAGAAAATTTCTAAGTTGCGAGTTATATGAGGGCATCTCTAGACCACAAGCTCATATCTGTCTTATAGATCACTTCCAGTAAGTAAAATGGGCTTCTTTTTACTCCAGGGTCTAAGAAAGAAAATAAATTTCTATTATCTCCACCACAGCAATCACAGATTATTTTCCTTCTTTTTGCTTTCAGGATCTTGTGTGTTTTCACCACTTACTTTGTGGTTCCAGAGTAGAGGTAAGTAACTTAGGTAAAGGGCCTCAGATCTTTTAAGACTGGAGTTAAGCATTTTCTGCTTAACTGTTGGATCTGAGGACTGCATACTGCTGATTCATTGCGATAAAAGCATGCAAGAATATTTCTTTCATGAGCAAGAGAACCTAGACAAAAAGTTCTGAAAACTGCCATGTAAAACCCATGACACATGAGGGGATAGCACTCGAGGGATGAATGAAGAAAGACGAGTGGGTATTGCATAGGTTATTTGGACAACTGTCAGTGTCTACTCACAGCCTGAAAGCATTGAGAAGTTGTTTCAAAAGTGCACAAATGGGTGCTTAGGGAGGGCTTCCATCCTTAAACATGTTGTCTGTGGTACCCTACTCTGGAGAGTGACAATCATGTATAATTAAATTTGATTGACACTTCTGTGAGTAGAGTAACGCATGACACGTACGACAGACAATGGCACTGTGGGTGCATTGAGGGTGTTTTATTGTACACAGAGGGAAGCTTTCTCTAAAATGCACGTATAATACCTCTTCAAACCCCTAGTGCTGGCCTCCCTCAAGGGAAGCCTCTTAAGTGCCTTTCAGAGGCAAGTCCTAGGAACTCCCATGGTTCTTCTGTGAGTCATATTCCTTTTCCCAAGTTGCTTGATGGAAATGAGAAAAAGACTTTCAGTGTGATGACAGTGTGCCTCGTTGCCTTTGTGGTAGATTTTTGTTTTTGTTTTTCTTTTTCTTTTTCTTTTTCTTTTTGTAAAAGCTTTTGCCTATGTTATCCCTCAAATCCTTTAACCTGTTCTCCCATAACAGTTCCCCTCATGATTTTAAAGTCTTCTCCTTTAGCCCTCTCCAAATGGCCTCCCACTTTTAAGTTATCTACTCTGCTGAAGCTCAGTTTTTTGACTTTCTGATGTTGAATCTGCTTTCTTCGTGGGCCCAACAGATGGTAGTTCTTTTGAAAATATCTTTGAATCCTCTACAAGTCATCAGTTTATTAGGGCTTATGCGTAGTACCCAAATAATTTTGCTGTTTGATATAATTTTATTTGTTTCTTCACAAAAAGTTCGATATCTTTTGGTTTTCTACAGAGAGAGTTGGGGATGCTAAGTACCATAGGCTTGGGTGCTGTCAGCTGGACTGGAAAAGTGTCTAAGGAGCAAGACACAAATCTTACTTCTTTGTGTTGGACAAAAGAAAATAAGCTGGTGTGTTTTTCCTTTAATTCTGATCAGGGAGTTGAGTTGGAAATGGCTCTTTGTGATATTTTGTCTGCATCAATAAGGCATATGTATCACCATACTTCAATCCTTTGTGAACATTTACTTACCAAGACAGGAGAAATGTCTCTTTTATTTCTTATCATGGCCACACCGCAAATATCTTCTGATCACAGTTCATTAATTGTGATCAGATTTTGTGTTGTTTTCTTTCATTTATTGTCTTCTGATTTATTTTTTGCTATGTGTTATTGGGGACACAAGGTTTTTGGATGTTTTATGTATGGCTTTTGGTGAAATTTTTAAAATGTGTTTTTTCATTTAGTTGCTGTTGATTTCTCTGATCTTTAAAACATCTAGGACATAAAATGTCCCATGCCCTGATGCTCTCCCTGAATTCCAGAGTGTGTCAGAGAGAGAATTCTGTTCTTGGGACACTGATTGTGAGAAATAAGCATTTAAAAAAAATAAGACTCTTCAATGGTGGTGGGGTGTTCTATGGGTTTTAAAAAAATACTTGTAGTTCTGTATCTATTACTATGATCATGATAGAGAAAAGTTACATTGCCCCCAAAATTACCTCATTCTGCCTTTTGGGTAGTAAATCCCCAGCCCAGCCTAACATCTGGTAACCACTGCTCTGTTTTCCACCTTTATAGTCTGTCTTTTTCCAGACTGCATAATTGCAGTCTCATGCTATGTTGGTCTTTGGTCTGGTTCCTTTCACTTAAAATGCATTCAAAATTCATCCATGTTTCTGTAGGAACTAATATTCTGTTGTAATTGCTAAGTAGTATTACAGTCAAATGTGAATGAAATGAGTTGTTTCCAGTTGTTGGTGATTATGCATAAAGCTACTGTAAAGTTTGCATACAGACGTATGTGAGAAGACAAGTTTCATTTCACATTTATAAATAGCTAGAGTGGGATTGCTAGGTCTATGAAAAGTTTGTTTAAATTGATTTTTTTAAGAAACCTAAGAAGACTATTTTCCAGAATGGCTTTACATATTGTGTTTCTGTGAACAATGCATCATAGTTACAGTTGCCCAAATCATCACCAAAACTTGGTATTGACAAATATTCATAACCATTCTCTATGGCTTATTGACTTATTATATTGTTGTTCAAACTTGCATTTTTTAATTATACTTTAAGTTTTAGGGTACATGTGCACAACATGCAGGTTTGTTACATATGTATACATGTGCCATGTTGGTGTGCTGCACCCATTAACTCACCATTTAACATTAGGTATATCTCCTAATGCTACTTGCATTTTTTTAATTGACTAATGATGTTGATCAATTTTTCATGTGCTTATTGGCCATCCACAGTCTTCTATGATTAAGTGTCTATTGAGATTTTTTATTTTATTTTATTGGATTTTTTGATTTCTTATTGTGGAATTTTTTGTTTATTGTGTATTCTGATTACAAATCCTTTGGCAGAAATGTGATTTGTATATATTTTCTCCCAGTCTCTAATTTCTTGTTTGAATTCTCTCAAGTTTGTCTTTATTTACAGAGCAAATATTTTCAATACTGATAGTGAAATGCTGTGTATGGTACCTTGCTCCAGACAGTGATAATCATGCATAATTAAATATGATTGACACCTCTACAAGTGGAGTAACACACATCATGTACAACATATGTGATGACACTGTGGGTGAATTTAGAGGTATTTAGTTGCATGCAGAGAGATGGTTTCCCTAGAGTACATATATGCCACCCCGTATACCTCTCTGTCCCTCTTGCTGGTCTACTTTAGATAAACCAATTAAGTGAATTCTCTGAGGCAAGTCTGAGGACTACAAGAAACTGAGAAAAAATTCTCCTGTTGAGGTTTGTTGTTGTTGTTGTTTTGCTTGTTTTTTTTTGTTTGTTTTTATTTCCCCCCCTGGGATTTGTACACATTTTTCCAAAATTGCCTGACTAAAATAGGAACAGTCTTTCAGTGTGGTTATGTGATTCTTCTCTTCATAAAGAGTATGATTAATTTTGCACAACCTATTTCCTGCCCCTACATCCAGGTCTGTTAACCCATTCTCACTTTTCAGTTGCCCTCATTATCTTCAAAGCTTCTCCATGGTTCTTCCCAAATTCCTTCCTGCTTCCCAGGTCCTAATCTGCTTGAAGCCCAGTGTCTTTTATTGGGCTTTTTCAGGGACCTGGAAAATGCTCATTCTTTTGAAAGCATGCTTGAATATAATGAAAATTACCAATTTATTACAGTTTGTGTATCACACTGAGAAATTTATACTCTTTGATTTTGTCACTTTTTTTTAAAAAAAGGGATGTAGTTATATTTTCCTTTTGGTGTCCCTTCCTAATGCAGTGAGGTGAGAGAGAGATGGAGTCAAACAGAGACAGAGAGACATACATAGAGGGAGAAGGGCATAGAGAAAGACAGAAAAACAGAGGGAGGAGTCAGGAAGAGAATCAATAGCCTGCTTATTTTTATTACTGAATAGAATATTAGTCATAAGTGAAGGACATCTGGGTTGTTTCCAATTGTTAGTGATTATGAATAATGCTAGGGTATATGTTTGCATACAGATATATGTGCAAACACAAGTTTTATTTTGTGTTAATAGCTCAAAGTGGGATTTATGTTAAGTATGTTAACTCTAAGTTAAATTTAAGAGAAATAGAAAAAAACTCTTCAAGAATGGCATTAATTACTATGTTGTACTGTCATGAACAATGTATCAGTGATCCACTTACCCAAATACTTATCTGCACTTGGTATGAGCATGGTTTTTGAGTGTTTTTATTTTTATAGGCTATTCTAATACGTGTGTTTTGTCAATATAGTTTCAGCTTGCATCTCTTTGTTGACGAAATGTTAAGCATCTCTTCATATACTTATTTGCCATTCATATATCTGCTTTGTTGAATTGTCTGTTAAGGTATTTTCCCCATATTTATTGAGTTGGGAGAGTTTTTATGCATTCTGAATTCAATTTATTTGTCAGATATGTGATTTTTTTTCTTTCTTTCTTTTTTTCTGTTTTTTTTTGAGACGGAGTCTCACTCTGTCACCAGGCTGGAGTGCAGTGGCACGATCTCGGCTCACTGCAGCCTCTGACTCCCTGGTTCAAGTGAGTCTCCTGCCTCAGCCTCCTGACTAGCTGGGATTACAGGCGTGTGCCACCATGCCCAGCTAATTTTTTGTATTTTTAGTAGAGACAGGGTTTCACCATGTTGGCCAGGATGGTCTCAATCTCCTGACCTCATGATCCGCCTGCCTTGGCTTCCCAACGTGCTGGGATTACAGGCATGAGCCACCGTCCCCGGCCCAGATATGTGATTTTCAAATATTTTTTCTTAGTCTGTGGTTTACTTTTGCATTCCCTTAACCATGTGTTGTACAGAGCAAACTTTTTTTTTTTTGTATTTTCATAAAGGATGATTCACCATTTGTTATTTTATGGTTTACATTTTAATGCCATATCTTAGAGTGTCTAAATTTAGGTACGTGATTCTTGGTTGACTGTTTTCCTTTTAGCACTATAAATGTTATTCCAGTGTCTTCCGGCCTCTATGGTTTCTAATGAAAAGTCAGCGAAATATATTGTAGAGGATCCCTTGTATGCATTAAGTTTATTTTTTCTAGTAGATTTCAATATTCTCTTTTTTTGTCACCAAAAAGTAGATATGTCTCTCAGCTTGGATTTCTTTTGTTTATGCTACCTGTAGTGTTTTGCACTTCTTAGGTATAATAAAAAATGTTTTTCATCAAATTTAGATATTCACAGCCATTTTTAAAAAATACTTTTTTGCTCCTTTCTATCTTTCACTTCTGCTACCTTAATATGCGTATTTTGATGTGCATGCTGGTGTTCTGCCTTTCTCTGAGGCACTGTTCATTTTCTTCACTCATTTTATTCTTTTATTTTTATAGAATTATCACTTTCAAGGTATCTTAAAGTTCACTGATTCTTTTTTCTCCTGAGTCCTTCTAGTGAATTTTTCACTTCAATTATTTTACTTTTATACTCCATAAATTCCTTTTCTTTAAATATTTCTACCTCTTTATTGATAGACTCTTTTGATGAGGCATTGTCAACATAGCTGCCTTTACTCTTCCAAGCACCATTTGTTTAGTGTTTTGAAAATACTTACAGTGGATGCTTTAAGGTTGTTGTTAAGTATAACATTAGGCTCTGTTGCCAGCATTTTCTGTAATCTACTTTTGTCCTGTGTGTTATATTTTTATTTTCTCTGTATGTCTGAGAATGTCCAGTTGAGAACTGGATATTTTATTAATATATTATAGAAGTTTTGGATGCAGATCTTGCTTCTGGGGATTGTTGTTGTCTGATTTTTTTATTTGTTGATTTACTTGGCTGTGCTGTTTTAGTAAAATCTATATTCTTTTTATTGTGAAAACCTAATGTTGTTCCTTGCAAGGTATAACTTTGGATATGTACACAGTCACTCTAAACTGTCGTGATTTTAGTAGAGTTCTTTGTTCTTTTGCTGCTCTTTCTGTTAAGCTGCCTGCCTCTGCGGTATCACACACAGGTAATAAGCTTCAGTGTTTGCAGGTGGATTATTTTGTAGCTTTTGAGAATACCATGGGCAAAAATTGCTTTAGAGTCTTATCCAAATACTTTGCAGATAATTTTTGGGGCAGGTCTCTAAAGGCTATTCTCCTACCAGAAAGGCTCTTATTAGCTGTCTGTTTCCTGATTCCAGTTCCATCCTAATTACTTGGCACCACAGTCTACATTATTTGTGAGACCTTTCTTGTCTTCTGTTACAACTGAAGTCATTTTCTTTTGAGAAGGAAAGCTTTAATGCTTTTTCTCTTAGGGCTAGCCTCTCTCAATGGACAAATCCCTGAGCAGTTGCCCCAAGCTGAGAATAAGGCAGTGTCCTGCTTCTTGTACACTGACACCCCTGCTTTACAACCAGGGTGATGAGTGATAGCAGTGGATTCTAGTGTTCTGGTTTGCCTCACCCAAAGTGGAAGCTCCCCCTGATGATTAAGCTGAGATGAGGAGTATTACGTACTCAATTATCTCCGCCGGCTGCACCTGGTATAGAGCCTAAACCCTGTGATGAAGAATGGCTATAGTAGCAGGCCCCTGACCTCTAACCTCACATGCCTAGTATTTAGCCTCTGAAACACTAAACTGGGTTTGTGGAGTGGATGAGAAATTCTGGAGGCTTCTTAAACCCACAAGTATATTGTTGCTCTTGATTAGGAGATAGGGGAACAGGTAATTTTGTAAGCCACAGTCACTTTAAATTCTCAGTTCTCAGTCTCTGAAATCCAGTCACCAAAATTGTGTCCATATTTTTGTGTGTGCTAATTTTAGTTTTGCAGGGAAACACAGTCACCTAGTAGCATGTGTCTCAGATTGGAAAAATGCAAACACATGCTAAAAAGAACCTTGCTCCCAGAAAAGACGAAGAAAACCCAGAAACTGAAAAATCTCTAAGAGTGTCTGGGTGCCTAGCACAATTTCTGTTTTGTAGATCACTCCTGGTAAGTAAAATGGGATTTTTTTTTTCACTTCAAAATTTGATGAGGATAAAAGAAATTCTACTCTCTCCATCTTACCACTCACTGATTATTCTCTCTTCTTTGCTTCCAGGATCCTGTGTGATGTCCTTGCTTATTCTGTAGTGAGGAGTTGTAGTAAGGAACTCAGGTAGAAGAACTCAGATCTTTGGATGATAGGCACAGATTGGTGAGATAGAGTGTAGTGTCTGGGTAGCTACTGAATCTGGGGAATGCAATCTACTCATTAATACTTTATATAAAACAATGGGAAAAGAAATAGAATAAGGCATCGAATGAGATTTTTCCCGTTAGCAGGAGAGCCTAGCAGGAAGGTTCTTAGTCCTGAAAACTGCCATGTGAAAACTCCAAACCATGAGTGGACAACACTCAAGGGGGAATGAGTGAATAAAAAATGATGTAGGTTCTTCAGGAATCATTTACATAAATGCCAACGGCCACTTACAGACTGAAAACATTTGAGAGGTTGTTTGAAAAGTGTGTGATTAAGTATTTAGGCTGTGCTCCCATTTTCAGGAATGCTGTGTATGTGTGTGGTGTCCTACTCAGGAGAGTGGCAATCACATGTAATTAGGTGTGATTGAAACCTCTAAGAGTGGAGTAACACATGACATGTACTACATATGCAATGATATTGCAGATATTTAGTTGCATGCAGTGGTATGCTTTTCTTAGCACATAGATAGTCCATCTGGTACCCTCCTCAATACTAAACTAGCTGGGGAGTTTCTAGATAAACTTCTGAAGACAAGACATAGGAAATAAAGGTTTTGGGAAAAAGTGTTTCACTGATTTCTTAGGGGCTTCATATCCTTCTTTACAAACTTGCAAGACTAAAATGGGAAAAAAGCCTTTTAGTATGGTCATGGTGTTCCTATCTGCCTGTGAATTTTTTTTTTTTTTGATAACCCTTACCTGCGGGGTCCATCCCACAGACCCTGGCCAAGCAACGGATGAAAGGAGTACTCAGCCACAGGCATGCAGTGTAAGAGCAGCTACAGGAATGCCCAGCACTAATGGCTGAAGAGTGAGCAGTCTCGAACAGCTGGAGCTGCTTGCTTTTATTCAGTACAGACAAAATAATGAAAGCCTGGAGCCAACACAATCTGTGGGTAATTAACATTATTATTCCCCCTTTCAGGGAGCAGTCTCCTGCCCTGATGATCAAAGTCGGTTTCCGGACAATGTAAGTAAACAAGCCTGTTTATGCCAAATTCCCCTATACTTCCTTACCTACCCCTTGCCCTCTGCCTCAGGGTAAGAGAACAGCTGCCTTCAGCTTATTCATCCCTGAAGCTATCCAGAGCCTTCCCGCCTTTCAGAAGGTCTGTTCCTTTCCCTATACCTTCTCCTACCACTCTGACCGATCTCCCGCGTCTCCCCCTTTTCTGTTTTTAGCATCGGGTTTTGTTGATTGAATAGTACAGATGTGTGCAGTGACAGATTTGACAGGCGCAGCGGTTACAGCTCGTGTTCCGGCTTTGCATCCTAGAATTAGTAAATAACATAAGTCAAACATTAGTATAGTCACTATTATTCTTTTCCAATCAAGGAGAGATATGTAGTGTTACTTGGCACCTCAGTTCAATGTGTGCCATTATTAAGGAACCCCACTGGGGGCATGTCAACCCCTCCCAGCTAAGCAGTTACATTATTAGAGGATGGGAAGGGGGTGTCTGCCAAGGTAACAGGTTGGAAGAAAGGCAGATCTTAGAAGATGGGCCCAATAGAATGTAGCAGGTATGAGTTGCAGGCAAAGTGAGAGAATAAGAAAGGTGAATACCCTATGAGAGTTGCAAGGTACAATAGAGAGCATAGCAAGGAACAGATTATCTGGAGTGATGGTGTCTGTGTCCAGAGAAGGATTCACTCGGCCTCCTGAGTTGTCTTCTTCAGCTTCCCCCAGGTAATGTCTGGGGCCTGTGTCATCGGAGGAAGCCACATCGTCTGGGGCTGCGGGTCCTGCAGCGTCGTTTCCTTTATTTTTGATACCAGCTTGGGTCTTAGCCACGCCATGGTATGGTTTGATGTGTCTGTCACACTGGAATACAAAGAGGACCTGAGGGCGTGTGAACACAAGCATATTCTCTTCCCCAGGTCAGCAAATCATTTGGACCACACCATAGATTACTATTAACTTCTTTCCATAAAACCATGGGTTTTATGTCTTGAGGGGCTTTTGCAAAATGCTTTTCTATGGCTGATTGAAATTTATCTAAATTAAAAAAATTAAGGGTAAATAAGGCTTATGCTAGTAGTGTTGCAGCATCCTTACTCATATTCCCCCTTGTTTTCTGAGCATATTTTTAAGGGTGGAATGGGCATGTTCTACTATGACTTGTCCTTGGGATTTGTACGGGATGCCTGTGGATGTCACATATTGGACATCCATGTGTGACAAAATTGGTGAAATTGTGAGCTGGTGTAAGCTGGACCATTAGTAGTTTTAATTTTTGTGGGCCGCCCCATAAACGCAAAACTTAAGAGAATATGTTTAATGACATACTGGGCAAACTCTCCGGGAAGAGCATGAGTGCTAATTAGGTGGGAATTGGTATCAATGGATATATGTACATATTTTAGTTTTCCAAATTCAGGGATGTGCGTAACGTCTGTTTGCCATAACTGATTAGGTTCTAGTCCTCTAGGGTTAACACGTGTTGATGGAGGGGACATGCCTCTGAGCTGGCCTTTCATTAATGATAGCTGGTATTGTAAATGCAAATTTTTCTCTGTCCTGTTTTGCAAGGGGAATAGTGTAAAAGCAGTCTTTAAAGTCAATAAAACAGTCTTTTGAGTCAATATGGGCCAACCTTGAGGAATCACCATGGGGGAAGGGATCCCCTGTTGAAGGGGCCCCATAGGTTGCAAATTAGCATTGATGGCAGGTAAGTCATGCAAAAGTTTCCATCTAGCAGACCTTTTGGGAATGATGAAAATGAGTGATTCCAAGGGCCGTTTGACGGTTCTATATGGCTGGCTTTTAATTGTTCTTCAACTAATTCATGGGCTGTTTGTGATTTCTCTCCCTTTAAAGGCCACTGTTCAACCCAAATAGGATCTTGAAAGAGCCATGTCAGGGGTCGGGGAAGAATAACAACAGTGGCCATTATTAGAAAGGGGCCATATGGAAGTTGTTTGCTATGGCCTCGATTAATCCTCGTGTAAATGGGCTAGCGGCTCTGTTTTCTCTAATGCTTTTTTGTTATTTCTTTATAAGTGTTGAAACTAATGGATTCACGTACCCAGTTGCCTTGTTGATCTTGCATCACCGGGCAGGCCAAGAGTTCCCCTTCTAATGCCACTTGCCTAGGACTGTAGTGTATCCTTTGTCTTTTTTGCAATTTATTGGGGTGGGGGCGGGGGGTGCTCAGGGAAAATCTGTGTCTCCTCTCTGGCAGCTTTACCTGGTAATAGTGGGGCTGAGGGAGGAGGAGGAGGCGGTAAGGTAGGTGATGGTTCCTCCTCCTCCCTTCCCTTTTTAGGCTCTTCTGTGCAGAGAGGGGCCAAAGCAGCCCTGACTAAGGCCCATAATGTTAAAGATGTTACTGGGACCCGTTGCCCTTGTGCATGATGTTGTTTATGATTTCCCCCAACTTGTTCCCAGAGCTCTACATCTAGTGTGCCTTCTTCCAGGAACCATGGGTTATGGGAAGCAGCAGTTTGCATTAGGTCCCTTAACTGAGCCTGTGAAACCAAGGCTCTGCTAGCTTTAAGCAGCAGTTTCAATACTTTTATATACTGTTGAGCTGATAACTGTTGTCCCATGATGAAACCCTAGCTTGAAAATTCCCTCGAACTTGGAAATCCCGAGGGGGCACCAATGACTTACTGACTGCACAGTCTCTTCACCTTCGTTTTCGAGGGTTCTGTCGCAGTCCGTTGCAGCGTTCCTCACACAGGGCACCAGCTGCCGGGTCCATCCTGCAGACCCTGGCCAAGCGACGGATGAAAGGAGTACTCAGACACAGGTATGCAGTCTAAGAGCAGCCAGGGACTGCCCTAATGGCTGAAGAGTGAGCAGTCTCGAACAGTTGGAGCTGCTTGCTTTTATTCAGTACAGACAAAATAATGAAAGCCTGGAGCCAACACAGTCTGTGGGTAATTAACATTGTTCCCAGTTTCAGGGAGCAGTCTCCTGCCCTGATGATCAAAGGTCGGTTCCAGACAACATAAGTAAACCAGCCTGTTTATGCCAAATTCCCCTACACTTCCTTGTACCAACTCCTTGCCCTCTGCCTCAGGGTAAGAGAACAGCTGCCTTCAGCTTATTCATTCCTGAAGCTATACAGAGCCTTCTGATCTTTCAGAAGGCCTGCTCCTTTCCCTATACCTTCTCCCACAACTCTGACTGATCTCCCACCACTCTGACTGATCTCCCACACTTACCTTACCCCAGACTCCAAATGTGATAAAACGTTCTCACATATTAGCTCCTCTCACCATTTTCAAGGCTTTTTCATTAGGCCTTCTCAAATACCCTCCTAAATCTCTTACCATAATGAATTTCAAATGTTTTACTCTCATTTATTGAAGGCCTTTCTTTTATTCACTGACCTAGAAGGTATTCATTCTTTAGGAAAATAGTTTTCTCATTCTTCAGTTGTGTTTTTGCCCAGTTGATTGTTTCCTTTGCTGTGCAGAAACTTTTTTTATTTTGATGTAATCTCATTTGTCTATTTCTGCTTTTGCTGCCCATGCTTTTGAGGTGATATCTAAATATGTTTTTGCTCAAAACAATGTAATGGAGCTTTCCCTCTATGCTTTCTTCTAGTAGTTTCATAGTTTGGGGTCTTACCTTTAAGCCTTTAATCCATTTTGAGTTGATTTTTGTATATGGCATGAAATAAGGGTCCAATTTCATTCCTCTGCATGTAGGTATTCAGTTTTCCTACTACTATTGAAGAGTCTGTCTTTAACCCATTGTGTCTTCTTGACACCTTTGTTAGAAATCAGTTGGGTATAGATATGTGGATTTATTTCTGGTCTCTCTAGTCTGTTTTACTAGTCTATACTTCTGTTTTTATTCCAGTACCATGCTATTTTAATTCCTATTGCTTTGTAATATATTTTGTAATGAGGTAGTGCTGTGCCTCCAGCTTCATTCTTTTTGCTAAAGTTTACTCTGGCTATCTGAGGTCATTTGTATTTCCATATGAATTTTAGATCATTTTTTCTATTTCCTTTTGTTTTAGAGTGAGGCAGGGTCTCACTCTGTCATCCAGGATGGAATGCAGTGGTGCAATCATAGTTCACTGAAGCCTTGACCTCCTGGACTCAAGTGATCCTCCCACCTCAGCCTCACAAGTAGCTGGGACTACAGGCATGAGCCACCATGCCTGGCTAATTTTCTGATTTTTTTTTTTTTTTTTTTTTTTTTTTTGGTAAAGCAGAAGTCTCCTGATGTTGCCCAGGCTGGTCTCAAACTTTTGGGCTCAAGCAATCCTCAGGCCTCTGCCTCCCAAAGTGCTAGGATTACAAAAGTGTGATCCACCTGTTTTTGGATTTATATGAAGAATGTCATTGGCATTTTGATAAGGATTGCATGGAACCTGTAAATTGTTTTTGGGAAGCATGGAAATGTTAAATACATATTTATTGAGACAGAGTCTGGTTCTGTTGCCCAAGCTGTAGTGCAGTGGGGCAATCTCAGCTTACTGCCACTTCTGCCTCCCAGGCTCAAGCCATGCTCCCACTTCAGCCTCATGAGTTGCTGGGACTACAGGTGCACGCCACTACATGCAGCTAATTTTTGTGTTAATGTTTTTTGTAGTGATGTGATGGGGTCTCACTTTGTTGCCCAGGCTGGTCTCATACTTGTGAGTGCAAGTAATTCACCCACCTCAGCCTCCCAAAGTGCTGGGACTACAGGCATGAGCCACCACATGCAAAAACAATGTATTTCTTAAAATTCATGAACATGGGATGTCTTTCCATTTATTTGTGTCTTTTCCAATTTCTTTCATCAGTATTTCATGATCTCACTCATATGTGGAATCTAAAAATGTTGATCTCATAGAAATAGAGAGTAGAATGGGGATTACCAGAGGCTGAGGTGTTCAGGGTGAAGATAAGGAAATATTGGTCAAATAATACATAATTAGAGATAGATAGTAGTAATAAGTTCAAGAGATCTATTGCACAGCATGGTGACTATAATTAATAATGACATATTGTATTCTTGAAAAATCCAAAGATGGTAAATGTTTAGTGTTCTCACTCCAAAAAGATAACTATGTGAGGTAACACATCTGTTAATTAGCTAGATTTAACTATTGCACTATGTATATATTCTTCAAAACATCATGTTGTACATGGTAAGTACATACCATTTTATCTACTAGTTTTAAAGACAACTAAATACAAAAGAAAGGAAAAAAAAAGACATTCATAAGAACTGTTTTCCAGAATGGCTTTAATATTTTATGCTGCCATGAACAATGTGGCAGAGTTCCAGTTAACCAAATCCCTACCAGCACTTGGTATCAGCAGTTTTGTGGCTTATTTTTTATTAGCTGTTTTAGTACACACAGTCATGGTTTTAGTTTGCATCTCCTCATTGTCTGAAAATGTTGGAAATTGCCTCATACACTTACTTGCCATTCACATATCTTCTCTGGCAAACTGTCCGTGGAGATGTGGATACTTTTTCCATTTTTATTGAGTTGTTTGATTTACTATTATTGAGTTTAAGAGTTTTTATTGTATTCATACTTTCAGTCATTTTACAGAAATGTCAATCGCATATATTTTCACAGGGTGTCTTTGTTTTTCACTCTATTAGCATTGTGCTACACAGAACAAAGGTTATTACATTTATTTTGATATATTGTAATTGGTCATTCTTTTTCCTTTCTGAATTGTGCTTTTAATGTCTAATCTAAGAGCTTTTAGTCTTAGATATAAGAATCTTGGTTGACATATTATTTTTTCAGCACTTTGAATATGTCATCTCACTGTCTTCTGGCCTCCATGGTTTCTGATGAAATGTTCAGTGTTAATCTTAGTGAGGATTTATTTTACGCAATGAACTGTTTTTCTGTTATAGCTTTCAAAATTCCTTTTATCATCACCGACAGATTAAATATAATATCTGTCCATTTGGACCTCCTTATGTTTATTCTACTTTGAATTTGTTGCATGTCTTTAATGTGTAGGTTATTGTTTTTTATTACATTTGGGAAATTTTTAACCATTATTTTAAAGATTTTTTACTGCTCTTTTTCCTTTTCTCTCTCCTTCTGTTACTCCCAATACATATTTTATTGTTTCTTCTCCTGTTCCACTTTTATCTAAGGCTCTGCTTTTTACACTCATTCATTTTACTGTATATTCTCTGTAAAGAATAATCATTATCAATCTGTTTTCTAGTCTTTCCTCTGCTAGTTCAAATCTACTGTTGAACCTCTCTGTTGATTTTTTTCATTTCAGATGTTGTGCTTTTAAACTCCAGAATATTCTATTTAAAACATTTTCTACCTCTTTTTTGATATATGTGTCTGATGAGAGATTGTCACAATAACTTCCTTTATTTCTCAAATAATGGTTTATATCTTTGTAAATATTTATACTTGCTTTAACGTATTTATCCATGACTGTGATATTTGGACCTCATCACAGGAATACTTTGGATTCTAGTGTCTGTTTTTCTCCTGTGTATAGGATACATTTTCCTTTTCTTTTCATGTCTTAGAAATGTTATTGAAAGCTAGACATTTTAGATGATTTACTGTAGCAATTCCAGATAATATTCTCCCCTCCTAGAGATTGTTTTGTTTTTGTCTTTTGTTTAACGGCATATTAAATTTAAAATACTGTACTATTAAAGATTTGTCTGCAGCATGAAGCCTCTTATGTTGCTCTTCGTAGGGCATAGCCTTCAATATGCACTTAGTCATTCAAAGAAGACAGCAGGGGTTTTTCGTTTGCTTTTTTGTGTGTATTTATTTTGTAGAGATGGGGCCTTACTGTGTTGCCCAGGCTGGTCTTGAACTCCTAGCCTCAAGCAATCCTCCCACCTCAGCCTCTCAATGTACTGGGATTATAGGTGAGAGCCATCATGCCCAACCAAAGACAGCAGTTTTATTGGGGTTCTTTTTGACTGTTTTTGTTCCTGCTCTCTTTGTCAAGCTGTCTGCCTTTGGGTGGATTCCACAGAGCCCTTAGGATCCCTAATTTTAGATAATTATTATATATTTCTTAAACGCTATGGACAAAAACTGTTCCAGAGTTTTATTCAAATAATTTAGGTGCTTTTCCATAGGTAGTTTTTGAGGAATGTTTTTAAGTTTTTACGGAAACCAAGAGGGCTTTCGTTATTTATCTCTTTCCCTGGTTCGCTCTGGTTTCTTGCTCTCAGGGAGCATCATCTTATTTGCTAATCACCAAAATCTACATTGCTTTTGAGAATGTATTAGGATTGACCTTTCCCATACTCTGTTACAAATAGAGTCAGATTCTGTAGGGCAGTGGTCGCCAACCTTCCTGGCACCAGGGACTGGTTTCATGGAAGACAATTTTTCCACAGACCAGGTTGGAGGGGATGGTTTTGGGATGAGACTGTTTCATCTCAGATCATCAGGCATTAGATTCTCATAAGCAGTGTGCAACCCAGATCTTTCACGTGGGCAGGTCACAATAGGGTTCTTGCTTCTATGAGAATCTAATGCTACCACTGAACTGACAGTAGGTGGAGGTCAGGCAGTAATGCTGGCTTGCTTGCCCACCACTCACCTCCTGCTGTGTGGCCTGGTTCCTAACAGGTCATGGACTGGTACTGGTCCACAGCCTGGGGGTTGGGGACCCCTACTTTAGGGAGAGCTTTAATATTCTATATTAGGCCAGCATCTCACACTAGGCAAAATCTTAGAATCACTGAGCCGGAGATGGCATTAAGGGCAGTGGCTTCCTTCCCTCACAGGGACACTTCTGCTTTATGAGCATGTTGCTTATCAGTGGTTGTAGACCACGTTTTCATATGCTGCATCTGCAGTACACTCTAGAATAGTGGTCTGAGCATTGGAAGAGTGCCCCTGACTTCTTACCACGTACACATGGTGTTTTGTCTCCGAGCCATTAAGCTGGGTGTGTGGGATGGTTGAGAAATGCCGAAAGCCTATGACTTCCATGAATATACCATAGCACTTATTGGGTGCTGGAAGGAAATTCCTTTTGTAGGCCACAGTCACCTAAACTCCTCAATCCTCATCCTCTGGCATTCATTCATCATATTTATATACCCATAGCTTGATGTACCAGGTTCAGTTTTTCCACGGAGATGCATACACTATGTAGTATATCTCAGAATGGAAAAATACAATAGCATGCTCAAAACAAACTTGTTCCAAGAAAAGACCCTGAAAACCTAGGAAAGAATTTGAGGGCATCCTTAGGCAACAGGTATAGTTTTAATCTTGTAGATTACTCCTGATAAGTAAAATGGGCTTTTTACACATTACTTGCTGAGGAAGAAAGGAAATTTCTGCTCTCTTTATCTCATCATTCACTGATTATTCTATTCTTTAATTCCAGGATCATGTGTGTTTTTCTTGTTTATTCTGTGTCTCAGTAGTTGAGGTGCATAACTCAAGACTTAGAGGGACTCATATCTTCAGGTGACAGATATGGTGTATTAATCAGTTTTCACACTGCTGATAAAGACATACCCAAGACTAAGCAATTTACAAAGGAAAGAGGTTTAATGGAGAACTCACAGTTCCATGTGGCTGGGGGAACCTCACAATCATGGCAGAAGGCAAGGAGGAACAAGTCACATCTTACAAGGATGGTGGCAGGCCAAGAGAGAGAGAGCTTGCACTAGAATACTCCCATTTTTAAAACCATCAGATCTTGTGAAACTTAGTCACAATCACAAGAACAGCACAGGGAAGACCCGCCCCCATGATTCAATCTTCCACCGGGTCCCTCCCACAACACATGGGAATCAGGGGAGCTACAAGATGAGATCTGGGTGGGGACACAGAGCCAAACCATATCATTCCACTCAGGCCCCTCCAAAATCTCATGTTCTCATATTTCAAAACACAATCATTCCTTCCCAACAGTCCCCCAAAGTCTTAACTCATTTCAGCATTAACTAAAAAGTCCACAATCCAAGGTCTTGTCTGAGACAAGGCAAGTCCCTTCAACCTAAGAGCCTGTAAAATCAAAAGCAGGTTAGTTACTTCCTAGATATAGTTGGGGGTACAGGCATTGGGAAGATACAGCCAATCCAAATGGAAGAAATTGGCCAAAACAAACGGGCTACAGGTCCCATGCAAGTCCAAAATCTGGTGGGGCAGTCAAATCTTAAAGCTCCAAAGTGATCTCCTTTGACTCCATTTCTCACATCCAGGTCATGCTGATGCAAAAGGTAGGTTCCCAAGGTCTTGGGCAACTCTTCCCCTGTGGCTTTGCAGGGTACAGCCTCCTTCTTGGCTGTCTTCATGGGCCAGTGTTGAGTGTCTGTGGCTTTTGTAGGCACACAGTGCAAGCTGTCAGTGGATCTACCATTCTGGGGTCTGGCGTATGGTGGCCTTCTCACAGCTCTACTAGGCAGTGCCTCAGTAGGGACTCTGTGTTGGGGCTGTGATCTCAGCTTTTCCTTCTGCACTGTCCTAGCAGAGGTTCTCCGTGAGATCCTTGCCTCTCCAGCAAACTTCTGCCTGGAGATCCAGGCATTTCTATTCATCCTCTGAAATCTAGGTGGAGGTTCCGAAACCTCAGTTCTTGACTTCTGTGAACCCACAGGCTCAACAGCTTATGGAAGCTGCCAAGGCTTGGGGCTTGTACCCTCCAAAGCCACAGCCTGAGCTATACCTTGACCCCTTTTAGCCACAGTTGGAGTGGATGGGACACAGGGCACCAAGTCCCTAGACTACACACGGCACAGGAACCCTGGGCCTGGCCCTCAAAGCAACATTATCCCCCTAGGCCTCCAGGCCTGTGATGGGAGGGGCTGCCACGAAGACCTCTAACATGCCATGGAGATACTTTCCCCATTGTCTTGGGGACTAACATTTGGCTCTTCATTACTTATGCAAATTTCTACAGCTGGCTTGGATTTTCCTCAGAAAGTGGGTTTTTCTTTTCTATAGCATTGTCAGGCTGCACATTTTCCAATCTTTTATGCTCTGCCTCCCTTATAAAATGGAATGCCTTTAACTGCATGCAAGTTACCTCTTGAATGCTTTGCTGCTTAGAAATTTCTTCTGCCAGGTACCCTAAATCATCTCTCTCAAGTTCAAAGTTCCACAGATCTCTAGGGCAGGGGCAAGATGCTGCCAGTCTCTTTGCTAAAACATAAAGAGTCACCTTTGCTGCAGTTTCTAACAAGTTCCTCATCTCCATCTGAGACTACCTTAACCTGGATTTCATTGTCCATATCATTATCAGCATTTTGGGCAAAGCCATTCAACAAGTCAAGTCTCTAGGGAGTTCCAAACTTTCCTACATTTTCCTGTCTTCTTCTGAGCTCTCCAAAGTGTTTCATCCCGTGCCTGTTACCCAGTTCGAAAGTCGCTTCCATATTTTCAGGTATCTTTTCAGCAGTGTCCCACTCTACTGGTACCAATTTACTGTATTAGCCCATTTTCACATTGCTGATAAAGACGTACCCAAGACTGGGCAATTTACAAAGGAAAGAGGTTTAATGGAGAATTCATAGTTCCATGTGGCTGGGGAAGCCTCACAATCATGTTAGAAGGCAAGGAGGAGCATGTCACATCTTACATGGATGGCGACAGGCAAAGATAGAGAGCTTGTGCAGGAAAACTCCCATATTTAAAACCATCAGATCTCATGAGACTTAGTCACTATTATGAGAACAGCAGAGGAAAGACCTGCCCCCATGATTCAATCATCTTCCACTGGGTCCCTCCCACAGCATATGGGAATCATGGGAGCTACAAGATGAAATTTAGGTGGGGACACAGAGCCAAACCTTATCATATGAGATTGATGAGATGGAGGATTATTTACTACTTAATTAATGGATATGGAGAATGCAAACTGGTAGTTAATGCTTTGCAAGTAGCAATGTGAAAAGGAACAGGATAAGACATGCAAGGATATTTCTTCTGTGAGTAACAGAACCTAACAGAAATGTTTAATATTTCTCAGTTCTGAAAACTGTCACGTGAAAGCTGCAACATGGGAGTGGACAGCACTCAAAGCAGGAAACATAAGGAAAGATAGTGGATTGGATTCTGCAGAAGTCCTTTGTCCAAATTCCAATGGCCACCCACAACTTGTAAATATTGAATGGCTGTTTTAAAGGTGAATGGGTGGGTATTAAGGCAAGGCTGCCATCCTCAGACATGCTGTGTGTGGTACCCTACTGCAGACAGTGGCAATCATGTATAATTAAAAATGATTGGTACGTCTGTGGGTAGAGTACTGCATGACACATGCAACATACATGATGACACTGTGTGTGTGTTGGAGGCATTTAGTTGCATGCAGAGGGATGCTTTCCTTACAGTGCAGGTATTTTACCCTCACAAACCCTCCACTTCCATGCTGGACTACCTCAGAAAACTCTCTCAGGTGCCTGACCACCAGACACGTGATCTAGGAATTTAAGGTCCTTGCAACAAGCCTCCCATTGAGTTCTTCTGAGATTGACTTCCATTTCTATGATGTTGCCTGATTGAACCAAGGTTTATCTTGCCATTTTACAGTTTCTTTCTGCCTTAAGAGTATTATTCATTTTGCAGAAACTATTTCCTTCTCCAACATCCAAATCTATTAACGGTTAGCTTCCTTTCTAATTTTCAAGTCTTCTTAAGCCTTCCAAAATTCCCTCCTGCTTCTTAAACACTTAACTTTCTGAAAATCAAAATATTTTCTGTCTCAGATATACAAAGTCCTCTTTCTTCATGTGCTAATAAAGTACATATTCGTTCTTTTGTAAATATATTTTAATCTATTATAAGGAACAGGATAAGACATGCAAGGATATTTCTTCTGTGAGTAACAGGACCTAGCAGAAATGTTTAATATTTCTCAGTTCTGAAAACTGTCATGTGAAAGCTGCAACATGGGAGTGGACAGCACTCAAAGCAGGAAACATAAGGAAAGATAGTGGATTGGATTCTACAGAAGTCCTTTGTCCAAATTCCAATGGTCACTCACAGGTTGTAAATATTGAATGGTTGTTTCAAAGGTGAATGGGTGGGTATTAAGGCAAGGCTGCCATCCTCAGACATGCTGTGTGTGGTACCCTACTGCAGACGTGGCAATCATGTATAATTAAAAATGATTGGTACGTCTGTGGGTAGAGTACTGCATGACACGTGCAACATACATGATGACACTGTGTGTGTGTTGGAGGCATTTAGTTGCATGCAGAGGGATGCTTTCCCTATAGTGCAGGTATTTTACCCTCACAAACCCTCCACTTCCATGCTGGACTACCTCAAAAAACTCTCTTAGGTGCCTAATCAGACACATGGTCTAGGAATTTAAGGTCCTTGCAACAAGCCTCCCATTGAGTTTTTCTGAGATTGATTTCCATTTCTATGATGCTGCCTGATTGAATCAAGGTTTATTGTGCCATTATACAGTTTCTTTACGCCTTAAGAGTATTATTCATTTTGCAGAAACTGTTTCCTGCTCCAACATCCAAATCTATTAATGGTTAGCTTCCTTTCTCATTTTCAAGTCTTCTTAAGCCTTCCAAAATTCTCTCCTGCTTCTTAAACACTTAACTTTTCTGAAAATCAAAATATTTTCTATCTCAGATATACAAAGTCCTCTTTCTTCATGTGCTAATAAAGTACATATTCGTTCTTTTGTAAATACATTTTAATCTATTATAAGGAACAGGATAAGACATGCAAGGATATTTCTTCTGTGAGTAACAGAACCTAACAGAAATGTTTAATATTTCTCAGTTCTGAAAACTGTCATGTGAAAGATGCAACGTGGGAGTGGACAGGACTCAAAGCGGGAAATATAAGGAAAGATAGTGGATTGAATTCTGCAGAAGTCCTTCGTCCAAATTCCAATGGCCACGCACAGCTTGTAAATATTGAATGGTTGTTTTAAAGGTGAATGGGTGGGTATTAAGGCAAGGCTGCCATCCTCAGACATGCTGTGTGTGGTACCCTACTGCAGACAGTGGCAATCATGTATAATTAAAAATGATTGGTACGTCTGTGGGTAGAGTACTGCATGACACGTGCAACATACATGATGACACTGTGTGTGTGTTGGAGGCATTTAGTTGCATGCAGAGGGATGCTTTCCTTACAGTGCAGGTATTTTACCCTCACAAACCCTCCACTTCCATGCTGGACTACCTCAGAAAACTCTCTCAGGTGCCTGACCACCAGACACGTGATCTAGGAATTTAAGGTCCTTGCAACAAGCCTCCCATTGAGTTCTTCTGAGATTGATTTCCATTTCTATGATGTTGCCTGATTGAACCAAGGTTTATCTTGCCATTTTACAGTTTCTTTCTGCCTTAAGAGTATTATTCTTTTTGCAGAAACTATTGCCTACTCCAACATCCAAATCTGTTAACTGTTAGCTTCCTTTCTCATTTTCAAGTCTTCTTAAGCTTTCCAAAATTCCCTCCTGCTTCTTAAACACTTAACCTTCTGAAAATCAAAATATATTCTATCTCAGATATAAAATGTCCTCTTTCTTCATGTGCTAATAAAGTACATATTCGTTCTTTTGTAAATATATTTTAATCTATTATTAGTAAGTCATATATCAGGAATTGTGAATAATGCTGAGAATTTTTTATTGTTTGATTTTTTTGCATTTACTTAAAAACATTTTTTATCTCTAGGTTTTCATTTACTTCCTTTATGTTGTTTCTTTCTCATTCAGTGATGAGAGAGGGTGTATGGAAGCAGAAAATGGGTAAAGGAGAGAGAATGAGAGTCAGAATTAGAGCAAGAATAATCTGTTTTTTTTTTTTTTTTAATCAAGTAGGGTAGAAGTCACAGGTGGACATCTAGGTTTTATTCCAGTTATTCATGGCTAAAAATAAAGCTACTTTGTATATTTGCATACAGATGTATATATGAACACAAGTTTCATTTTCCTTGTGTAAACTGCTACTAGTAGGATTTGAAGGTCACATGGCAAGTGTAAGTTTACATTTAAAATTAATTAAAAAATAATTTCCAGAATGGTTTTACCATTTTGTGCTGCATTAAGCAATGTATTAGTGATCCAATTACCCAACTTCTTATCAGCATTTTGTATTGAAAAGCCTTTGTTTTGTTTTTATTAGCAATTTTAATATGTGTATAGTTCCCTTGTCAGTTGTGGTTTTAATTTGCATCACCTTACTGACGGAAAATGTTGAGCACCTGTACATGTACTTACTTACCATTCATGTATCTTCCTTGGTGAAGTGCCTTTGGGATTTTTCTCACCTTTACCGAGTTGTTCACTTATCTTTGAGGTTTACTATATACATATAGATAGAGATATATAGGTATACTGCATACAATTTCTTGGCCAGAATTATGATTTACATATATTATCTCTCAATCTGTTTTGTTTTTTTCATTTTCAACAGTATTTTGTGCAGAGCAAATGTTTTCAATTTTGATAAAGTACGACTTAACAGTTTTTCAATGTATGCATTATGCTTTTAATGCTGTATCTAACAACTTTTAGACTTAGATGTGAGATTCATGGTTAACTGTGTTTTTCTTTCAGCATTTTGAATATGTTCTACAACTGATTCCAGCTTCCATGGTTTCTCAAAAGAAGTCAGTGTTAAATCTTGTAAGAATCACTTGTATGAAATATGCTCCCTTTCTCTTGCAGCTATAAAGGTATTCTTTCTTTTACACATTCTCTTTCTCTCTCTCTCTCTCCATTAACAGATTGAATACAATGTCTTTAAGTCTGGATATCTTCATGCTTATCTCACTTTTTTGATGTGTACATTTATGTTTTTTATGAAATTTGAAGTTTTTAGCATTATTTCTTTCAACACTATTTTTTTCTGGTTTTCTCTCTCCTGTCCTAATGCTATTTCCATTAGGCATATTTTGGTATGACTCTGGTGTTTCACCTTTCTGAGGCCATGCTCATGCTATGTTACTGAATGGAAAAGTGTAAAAAAAAAAAAAACTTTAAACTATCTTGTTCCAGGAAAATGCTCAGAAAACTCAGGAACAAAAAGAAATATAAGAACATCCCAAGATACCAAGACCATTTTCTGTCTCGTTGATCACTGCTGGTATGTAAAATGAGCTTTTTCGATTACGGAGTCTGGAAAGAAAAATGAGTTTTTACTCCTTCCATTCCACTACCTACTGAACCTACTGATTATTATCTTGTTATTTACTTAGTTGATCTGGTCTTTTTTTTTTTTTTTTTTTCATTTTTTTTGAGATGGAGTCTTGCTCTGTCACCCAGGCTAGAGTACAGTGGCGCGATCTTGGCTCACTGCAAGCTCCACCTCCTGGGTTCATGCCATTCTCCTGCCTCAGCCTCCCCAGCAGCTGGGACTACAGGTAGCTGCCATCACACTAATTTTTTTTTTTTTTTTTTTTTTTGAGACCGAGTCTCGCTCTGTCACCCAGGCTGGAGTGCAGTGGCACGATCTCGGCTCACTGCAAGCTCCATGTCCTGGGTTGACACCATTCTCCTGCCTCAGCTTCCTGAGTAGCTGGGACTACAGGTGCCCCCCACCACGCCCGGCTCATTTTTTTGTATTTTTAGTAGAGACTGGGTCTCACCGTGTTAGCCAGGATGGTCTCGATCTCCTGACCACGTGATCCGCCCACCTCGGCCTCCCAAAGTGCTGGGATTACAGGCATGAGCCACTTCGCCTGGCCAATCTGGTCTTTTTTATCTGCTCATTCTGTGATTCAGAAATTGAGGAACATAACTCAGATAAAAGGACTCAGATCTTTGGGTGACAAGGCAAGAGTGGTGAGATGGAGTGTATTTACTGCTTAATTATTGGGTCTAAAGAAGACAAATGATTTGTTAATGCTTTATATATAATAATGGATAAAAAAAACCAGGACAAGACACACAGGGGTACGTCTTATATATGCAAGAGAACATAAGAGAAAGGCTTAATGATCCCAGCACTTTGGGAGGCAAAGGCGGGAGATCACTTGAGGTCAGGAGTTGGACACCAGCCTAGCCAACATAGTGAAACCCCGTCTCTACTAAAAATACAAAAATTAGCTGGGTGTGGTGGTGGGCACCTGTAATCCCAGCCACTCGGGAGGCTGAGGCAGGAGAATTGCTTGAACCTGGGAGGCGGAGGTTGCTGTGGGCCAAGATTGCACCACCACATTCCAGCCTGGGCAACAGAGTGAGACTCCGTCTCAAACAACCAAACAAAGAGGCTTATTGCTCCTCAGTTCTGAAAACTACCATGTGAAAACTTCAACACACAAGTGGACAGCACTTCAGGGAAGAATGGATGAGGAAAAAAAACAGTGGAGTGTTCACTGTAGAGGTACTTTGAACAAATACTGGTAGCCACTCACAGCCTGAAAACATTGCGTAGCTTTTTAAAAGGTACATGAATGGGTGTTTAAGCAGGGCTTCCATCCTTAGACATGCTGTCTGCGGGGCCTTACTCGAGAGAGTAGCAATCACATATGGTAATGACATATGATTGAAACCTCTACGAGTGGTGTAACACGTGACATATGCAGCATATGTAATATAACTATGGGTGCACTTGAGGGAAGATTAGTTGCATGCAGAGAGCTGTTTTCCATAGAGTACATCTATGCTGTTCACACACCTCCGCCACCCTGCTGGACTATCTCATGGAATCATCTTATGTAAATTTGCAGAGGTAAGTCCTAGGAACTAAAGGTCCTGGAAAAACGCCTTTTCTTGTTTTTATTTTTTCCTGGGATATCTTTTCCTGGGATTGATACCTATTTTTACAAAGTTGCCTGACAAAAATGAAAACCAGGTTTTCAGTGTGGCTATGTTTTTATTCTCTGCTGCAGAGTATTAAGTTTTTACAGAACCTTTTTCTTTCTTGATGCTTATATCAGTTTACAAGTTATTATTTATTATTCCCTCCTCCTCGTTTTCAAGCCTTCTTTTTAGGCCTTTCCAAATCCCCTCCTACTACTCAGATCCCAACCTGCTGACAACATATTTTCTGTCTCAAATATGAAAGCTCATTTTTTTCTTCATTGGCTGAAGAGGTACTCATTCTTTGAAAAGCATTTGAATCCTTTATAAGCCACCAATTTATAAGAGGTTGTGCAGAGCACACAGAAACTTGTACTCTTTGATTTATTTCATTTTGTTTTGCTATTACTATTTATTTTAACTTACATGTCTTTCGTTTTCCTTTTATTTTTCATGTGGTGTCACTTCCTAACACTGTGATGAGTGAGAGAGTGAGTGTGAAAAAAAGACACACACAGAGAGAGAAACAGAGACAGGGAGAGAGAATGCAAGAAAAGCAGACAAGACTCAATTGCTTCAGTGTTGTTTTTATTACTGAGTTGGGTACAAGTCAGGTGATGGACAATCTTGTTTTTTTTTTTCAAGTTGGTTTTTTTTTTTTTCAATAATTGTACCGTACACAGTTGCATACAGATATGTGTGTAAACACAAGTTTTATTTTACTTGTGTAAACTTGTAGGTCTTATGGTAAATGTAATTTTAAATTTAAAAGCAATAGAAAAATAACTTATTCCAGAACTGCTTTAAACTTTTTTGCTGCCATGAAAAATGTCTAACATCTCCAGTTACTCATATTCTTATCAGTGTATTTTATTGGCAATTTTTGTGTTGTTTTGTGTTTTTATTAGCCACTGTAATATTTGTATAGATTTTTGTCATTGTAGTTTTAATTCGTACATTCATATTGACTACAAGTATTGAGTGTCTCTTAATATATTTATTTGCTATTCATACATCTTCTTAATGAAGTATCCATTGAGGAATTTTTACAAATTTTATTGCGCTGAGTTATTATTAATGATATTTAAGAGTTCTTATATGTTCTGAATACAACTCCTTGAAAAATGTGATTTGCATGCGTATCTCAGTCCACAATCTGTCTTTTCATTCTCTTAACTGTTTCATACAAAGCAAGTGTTTACAATTTTAATAAAGTGCAATTTATTGATATATTTATGTTATGAGTTGTACTTTTAGTGCTATAGTGAACAGCTGTTAGCCTTATATTATTCTTGTTTGACTATGTTTTTCTTTTAGCATGTTGAATGTCACCTCCCACTGCTTTCTGGTCTGTATACTTTCTTATGAAAAGTCAGCTATTAATCTTACAAAAATCCCCGTATGCAATGAGTCGCTTTTCTCCTGCAGCAGTCAATATTAACTATTTTCCATAGGTATCAACAGATTGCATGTAATGTCTGTTAATCTGAGTTTCTTTGTATTTGTTCTACTTGAAATTTGTTTTACCTCTTGGATGTGTAACATTTTTCATCAAATTTAGGAAGTGTTCCTTCCGAAGAATATTTGAGCAGGTTTCTTTTTTCCTTTTCTCTCTCTTCTTATTCTGGTAATTCCATAATGCAAATCTTTTGCCCTTTCTGGTGTTTTACTTCCTTGATGCTCTGTTCATTTTTCCTCATTCATTTTACTCTGCGTTCTTCATAAGGCATTAGTACTATTAATGTGCGATGTATTATTTATTCTGATAGTTGAAATATACTGTTGAGATTCTCTATTGAACTTTTATATTTAAGTTATTGTACTTTTAAAATCCATATTTTCCTTTTTTAATAAGTGTTTTCCCCAGCACTTTGGGAGGCTGAGACAGGCAGATCATCTGAGGTCAGGAGTTCAAGACCAGCCTGGCCAACATAGTGAAACCCCATATCTACAAAAATACAAAAATTAGCCGGGCATGATGGTAGGTGCCTGTAGTCCTCTCTACTTGGGAGGCTGAGGCAGGAGAATCACTTGAACCTGGGAGGTGGAGGTTGTAGTGAGTCAAGATCGTACCATTGCGCTCCAGCCTGGGTGACAGAGGAGACACCGTCTCAAAAAAAAAAAAAGTGTTTTCTACATTTTTATTATTATAAACTTTAGATGAGACATTGCCATCATAACTTCCTTTACATCTAAATTTTTTTTATTTCTTTGAAATCTTTAATTGTTGCGATAAAGTCTTTAACTGTTAGCATGATTTCTGTGCCCTCTCATGGGCATTTTCTGTCATATATTTTTGTTATCTGTAAAGACTACACTATCTTTTTTTTGTACATATTATGATTTTCTGTAAAACAGGATAGTTAAGATCAAATATTGTATTCTGGATAATAACCACTTCCTCTGAGGAATTATATTTTTTTTGTTTCTTTGTTTTGTTTTTGAGATGGAGTCTCGCTCTATCACCCAGGTTGGAGTGCAGTGGCGTGATCGCGGCTCACTGCGACCTCTGCCTCCTGGGTTCAAGCGATTCTCCTGCCTCAGCCTCCTGAGTACCTGGGACTACAGGCGCCCGCCACCGCGCCCAGCTAATTTTTGTATTTTTAGTAGAGACGGGGTTTCACCATGTTGGCCAGGATGGTCTCAATCTCCTGACCTGGTGATCTACCCACCTCAGCCTCCCAAAGTGCTGGGCTTTACAGACGTGAGCCACCGCACCTGGCTTTTACTGTTGTTGTTGTTGTCTGTTTTTAATTTGTTTATTGAATTGGCTGGAGTTTATTTACTTATCTGCTGTGAATTTTCTTATACTGTTCTTTAGAGAGCACAGCCTTTGTATGCACATAGTAACTCTAAGATGACAGTGATTTTAGTAGCATTCTTTTTGTTTCTTTTCCTGATCTCTCTGTCCAGCTAGTGGTCTCTGTGTATCACACAGAGATGTTAGGTTTTCTCACTGAATGCTGACTTTCTCTATCGTTTTTTTTGAATTTTAAGGGAAAAACGTATCAGAGTTTGATCAAAATAATTTAAGCCACTTGGAACACGTTGTTTTAAAGGCAAGTCTTTCAGGTTTGTTCTGATACAGGAAGGCTCTTATTAGCTGTCAGTTTATCGGATACTCTGGTAAATAAGCTGGCCTGTGGTTTAGCTTGTTGCTCTCATACAGCTACCAAATCCATCTTACTTACTTACCTCCAAAATCTGTGTTGTTACCTGGAGCATCGTTAAGCCTGAGCTTTCCCTGACTCTGCTATAAATAAAGTCCTATTTTTTTTTTTAGGAGAGCTATAATACCATCTTTTATTCAAACTCACTTCTCACACTGGGAAAAAGAATCTCTGACTCACTGCTCTCAAGCTTTGGGAAGGTGCAGCGACCTGCTTCTTTCACAACACTCCTGCTTTATGTACAGAGTGAAGATTGGTAGTCGTAGATTTTGGTCTTCTCAGCCTGCTCATTCCAGGGTTGAAACTCTGTTTTATGATTATTCTGGGGTGATGATGATCAGAGACCCCATATTCTCAACCTGCCAAAACCACACTAAAGCCTACACCCTACGAAAGTGAGCTGAGTGTACGAACAGTGCCCCTAACATCTGTACCTGTTGCTTAGCCACAGCAACACAAAATTAAGGGTAGGGTGCATGAGAAAGGCTGGGAACTTGTTTCTTCCATTAAGATACCATAATTTTTGACTGGTAGCAACTTCACATTTTAGGCTACTTACAATCACCTCTTTCTTCCATCCCAGTTCTCTGACATCCATTTACCATATTTGTGTTACTATATTTTGGTGTCCCAGATTTAGTTCATCCAGGAAAATGAAGACACATAGTTGCATGTTTCCAAATGGAGAAAAATGCAAACAAAAATGCTTGAAAAGACCACGCTCGAGGGAAAGACTCAGAAATCTCACAAACTGGAAGAAGTTTAATGGCATCCATAGATGCCAAGAACATTTTCTGTTTTGCAGTTCATTCCTGGTAAGTAAAATATTTTTATTTTTGCTCTAGGATTTAAGGAGAAACAGACATTTCTACTCTCCATCACATCAGTGATTACCATCCTATCCTAGAATCTTGTGTGTTTTCCCTGCTTATTCTGTGGTTCAGGAGTTGAGGGATGTAACTCAGGTAGAGGGACTCATCTTCAGGTGACGAGCATAGATGACATAGAGTATATTTTCCTGTTAACTATTAGACCTGAGGAATGTAAACTGCTTTCTAACACTTTATAATAATGGAAAAAATAAACAGGATAAGACATGCAAGGATTTTTCTTCCGTGCACAAGAGAGTCTAGCAGAAAAGCTTAATGGTTCATAGTTCTGAAAATTGCCATGTCATAACTCCAAACCATGATTGGACAACACAGGAAAGGATGGATGAAGAAAGACAGTGTAGTGCATGCTACAGAGGCCCTTTGTATGAACACCAGTCACCAATCAGATTGAAAACAATGATGTGTTTTTGAAAGATGCATGTTGGTCAAAGAGTACAAACTTTGAGTTACGTAATAGATAAGCTCTGGCTATCTAATGTATAGCATAGTGATAATAATGCTGTAATTGTTTACTGGAAATTTGATAAGAGAGCAGATTTTAAGTGTCCTCACCACACCCCCACAACACACACACAAATGGTAACTAAGAGCGGTGAATGATGTGTTAGTTAATTTTACTATGGTAATCAGTACGCGATGTATATACATATCAAATCACATTGCACACCTTGAATATATACAAATTTTGTTTGTCAATTACATATTTTTAAAATATAAAAAGAAAGGTGCATGAGTCAGTCATTAGGCTGGGCTGCCATCCTTAAGTGTTCTATTCTTCATGTGGTACTCTTCTCAAGAGGGAGGCAATCATGTGTAATTAGATATGATTGACACCTCTGTGAGTGGAGTAACACATGATATATACATCATATGACATGGCATGGTGGATACACGGGGCGTGTTAAGTTGCAAGCAGTATAATACTTTCCCTAGAATGCAGACATTTCTACTGACACCCTCCCTGTTCTGGACTAGCTCAGTTAATTCTCTAAATTAATTATCAGACGTAAGACCTAGAAACTGAAAGTCTGAGGAAAAACTTCCCATTGAGTTTCTTCTGAGATTCAGATCCCTTTTGCCAAAGTTGCTTGACCAAAATGGTAACAAGCCTTTCACTGTCTTCATGGTGTTCCTGTCACCTATAAAGTGTTTTTTCTTTTGTAAGAACCTATTCCCAACCGTAGCCTGCAAATCTCTTAACTTACCACCTATCGACATTCCTCTTCATTTTTAAGATTTTCCCCTTAGGCATCCATCAGTTCCCTCCCTTCTCAGATCCTTACCCTACTAAAGACCAAAGTATTTTTTTTCTCCCAGGTATTAAAGCTCCTTTTTTTTTTTTTTTTGGTAATTATTTCTGGTCTTTTCTGGTCTTTTTTTTAACTTTTATTTTAAATTCAGTTGTACATATGCAGGATGTGCAGGTTTGTTATATAGGTAAACATGTGTCATGCAGGTTTGTTGTACAGATTATTTTATCACCCAGGTATTAAGCCTAGTATCCATTAGTTATTTTTCCCGATCCTACCCTTCCTCCCACCTTCCACCCTTTGATAGGTCCCAGTGTGTGTTGTTCCCCTCTATGTGTCCATGTGTTCTCATCATTTAGCTCCCACTTACTTATGCATGAGAACATGCCATATTTGGTTTTCTGGTCCTGTGCTAGTTTACTGAAGGTAATGGTCTCCAGTTCCATCTATTTCCCTGTAAAGGACATGATCTCATTCTTTTTTTATGGCTGCATAGTATTTCATGGTGCATATGTACCACATTTTCTTTATCCAGTCTACCATTTATGGGCATTTAGGTGAATTCCATGTCTTTGCCATTGTGACTAGTGCTGCAGTGAACATACTCGTGCATGTATCTTTATAATAGAACAGTTGATAATCCTTTGGGTATATACCCAGTAATGGGATTGCTGGGTCAAATGCTATTTCTGGTTCTAGGTCTTTGAGGAATTGCCACACTGTCTTCCACAATGGTTGAACTAATTTACACTCCCACCAGCAGTGTAGAAGCGTTCATGTAGTTTTTGTTTTTATTCTGTTTATGTGATGAATTCTAAGCTCTTAATGCACAGGAATTCAGTGAATCTTTACAAGAACCTTATGAAGTAGGAGCTGTTATATCCACTCTCATTTTACTAATAAGACAAGAAAAATAATTTTAATAAATGCCTTATGATCACACAGCTATCAAGAAGCAGAGCTTGTATTTGAGCCCAGGCAGCCACTCTACAGTGTCCCCTTTTTTACATCAACTCACTGCCCTCCCTTAGTTTCTTTTCTTCTAAATCCAGCACTAGAATGTATTAAACATTTGATTCAGCTCACAGCTCACAGTTCCTTATGTAGAGCTTTGATAATGGCCCTGCTCACAAAACAAAGAGGCTCTGACAAAACACACAAGTATTCACGTCGGAAGGGTGAAAAGGATCTGGATTGGAATCCAGTGCACTTGCATCCAGGATCTTCAGCCCTCATCAGAGGACATCACGATGTCTGGTTATGTTTGTCTACTAATGTCTCCTTGAGGTTGAGCCACTGGGTATAAAATTAGATAGCAGGTTTAAATTTTTGTACGTACATATAGATACTTAAATTATTTTCATTTACTGGACCACATCCAGGTTTGAGGCTAAAGTATATCCCCATTTTTACATGGTTACATTATTATGAGGGTTAAAACCAGCAATACGTTCTAGTTGTTGGTTGACATTAAGTAGCAGTCCTCATCTCAAAAAATAGGAAAACCCCACCTTTCTCTGCGTTGCTAGAGAGGGAGGCCTGCCTTCAACCCTGCCTTCTTTCCTTTTACAGTCAGTGATGAAAGCTATACCTAGGTATTAGTTATTGAAACCACCATCATCATGCCATTACTTATGTATTTGATGATGGATAAAGATAAATCCAGTTTTTGCCGTGTTTTATCTTTCTTAATGAAAATATCCATCCCTGTTCCTAACAAATTAGATGAATAAGCTATGCTTATATGTAGAATGTAAAGAAGGGTTGAGTGGGGATGGGTGGGAAGGGCCGATGTCAAATTCTCTACCTACCAGCTCTTTCAGATCTGAAATGTCTATAGATACTGGAGAAATTTCTTGTCTACTCTGTTTTTCCTGTTAATATTCCTACTGGAAATAAAGAATGATGGACAATGACCACAAAGGGGAGTCAATTTGAGGACCAAAGATGATATGGTGAATGTAAATATTTAGAGTCCTGTATTTGTGGATGATGTGAGACTTCTTATAGTTCTGTGAGATGCAGACTTGACTCATATTTTAGGTTACTAGAGGCAAGATGGGACCCTAAATTCTGGAGAACTTAGGGAAGTCCAGTTGAAGTGGCACTGACCTCTTAAACATTCTTCACCGAGCGTAACTTGGAGAGGTACATATTTTTCCAAATTTCCCAACTTCACAAACCACAAAATTTTCCATAATCTGGTTTTTGTGTTCTTAAACCAAGAATGTTTTTTGGTCTTGGAATCAGTTTACCTTCTTCCTTCCATGTTATCTGGGGGCATCTGTCAAGGCCAGAAAAATGAAAATGAAAACACATGAAGGCCTGTGACTCAGTATGAATAGTTGGATAGATTCTCTCTATAACCAGACCTCTGAAAAAAGGCTTAAAAATCCAGGGTGAGAGGAGAAACAGGACATCTCTAGGCTGTCAGCCCATTTTCTTTTTTGAAGAGCAATCCAAGTAAGCTTTATATTTTGTTTCCTTTCTAGAGAAGGAAGAGGTACAGGGGTCTCTGCCCTTTATCTGTTGGCAACTCCTGACTACTACTTCTCTCGCGTGAGATTCCTGCACGTTTTCTATGCTTCTTAGCAGTTTGTTCTTTCATTAAGGTATGAAACTCCAAGGGTGTATTAATTTTCAATATATGCATAACAAATTACTCCAAATTTAAGCAGCTTAAAACAGTACACATTTATCATCCCACAGTTGCCATGAGTCAGGGGTCTGTACATAGTTTAGCAGGGTCCTTGGCTTAAGGTCTTGAAAGACTGAAATCAAGATTTCAACTAGGCTTGTGATCTCATCTGGGGCTCAAGGACTTCTTCAAAATTGGCAAAAAGGTATTTCTTTGCAGCTCTAAGACTGAGGCTCTCAGCTCCAAGAATGCCACTTGCCATTGCTTATCATGTCACTCTATCCACAATATGGCAATTTGATTCTTCAAGGCTGCTTTTTCTTATTGCTGGTCTCTATATCCTCTTTTAAACAGCTTATGTGATTAGGTCAGGGCCACTCAAGATACTCTACTCTGTCTTTGATTAAATCTAATTCAGAAGACCAGTGACCTTAATTACATCTGTAACTTTCCATTGGCTGTACAGCATAACATAATCATGGGAGTGAAATTCTGTGAAAGTCAAAGCTCCTGCTCTCCCTAAAGGGGAGATTATACAGGGCATGTGCATGGGGCTCATCTTCAGGACTATCTTAGAACTCTGCCTTTCACAAAAGGTTGTGGAAATTTCAGGTGGAAGTTTGGAATAGAGAAGGATGATGTAGGTATGTTGATGAATCCTTTCAACTTTGGAGGAAAGTAAATAATACATAAATATCACTTCTAATGAAATTCAACAGATTAACACAGATGAGAATATACCTAACCTGAGTGAGAGAAGAAAAAATAATTATTCTCTCTCAACCGGAAAATCTGCAAATCATGCATGCAGCAGGTGAGGAGATACTAATGCAGGGAGGGATGACAGAGTGAGGGTAACAGGGGTGTATGTTTCATAGGTCTTTTATATAATCTGAAGGGCTACATATGTGCTGGAAGCATAAAGCAACTGTATGAAAGTAATATGATTGGGGAGCATTTGGGCAGGGCTGCTACATTTAATCCTGCTTTGTGCAGTACTGCACTCCAAAAGGTGCTATCAGGTGTACTAAAATATGATAGTCACTTTAATTCGCAACATGTACAACTACATGTGGTGGCCCTGTGGGGAGGTGGTGTGGCTGTCGTCTACACATAGATGTACTCATTTTGGCCAAATTGCTATCCTTGCAGAAGACTCTTAAGTGCCTCTGGAGAGTCCAGACCTAGGATTTGAGGGCCCCTCTAATCCCTCTAGGTGTTTCAGGATTCATTTTTTTTTTTGTTTGGTTTTCTTTCACTGTGTTAGTTTGCTGAGGATAACGGCTTCCAGCTCCATCCATGTCCCTGAAAAGGACATGATCTCATTCCTTTTTATGACTGCATAGTATTCCATGGTGTATATGTACCATATTTTCTTTATTCAGTCTATCATTGATAGGCATTTAGGTTGATTCTATGTCTTTGCTATTGTGAATAGTGCTGCAGTGAACATACGAGTGCATGTGTCTTTATAACAGAATGATTTATATGAATATATTCCTCTGGGTATATACCCAGTATTGGGATTGCTGGGTCAAATGGTATTTCTGCCTCTGGATCTTTGAGGAATCACCACACTGTCTTCCACGATGGTTGAACTAATTTACACTCCCACCAACAGTGTAGAAGCATTCCTTTTTCTCTGCAACCTTGCCAGCATCTGTTATTTTTGGACTTTTTAGTAATAGCCATTATGACTGGTGTGAAATGATATCTCATTGTGGTTTTGATACGCATTTTTTGAATGATGGGTGATGTTGAGCTTTTTTTCGTATGTCTGTTGGCCACATGTATGTCCTCTTTTGAGAAGTGTCTGTTCATGTCCTTTGGTCACTTCTTAATGGGGCTGTTTGGTTTTTTCTTGTGAATTTGTTTAAGTTCCTTGTAGACTCTGGATATTAGATCTTTGTCAGATGTATAGATTGCAGAAAGTTTCTTCCATTCTGTAGGCTGTCTGTTCACCTGGTGATAGTTCCTTTTGCTTTGCCAAAGCTCTTTAGTTTAATTAGATCCCATTTGTTAATTTTTGCTTTTGTTGCAATTGCTTCTGGCATCTTCATCATGAAATCTTTGCCTGTACCTATGTCCCAAATGGTATTGCCTAGAATTTCTTCTAAGGTTTTTATAGTTTTGGGTTTTACATTTAAGTCTTTAAACTATCTTGAGTTAATTTCTGTATATGGTGTAAGGTAGGGGTCCAGTTTTAGTTTTCTGCATATGGCTAGCCAGTTCTCCCAGCACCATTTACTAAATAGGGAATCCTTTCCCCATTGCTGTTTTTGTCAGGTTTGTCGAAGATCAGATAGTTGTAGGTGTGCTGAGTTATTTCTGAGTTCTCTATTGTGTTAACTTTTTTTGAGTACATTTTGTGTCAAACATAATTTGTTGAAGTGATGAGAGGTTTTACTTCTCAGACTTTTGGAACTGAATAAATATTTCATAGACTTTTATTTCTCTTCTTAAGGAATCCTATCTTAATTCAGCTTCCCCTAAGAGACTAGCAAAGAGAGAAAAACACAGATAACAGACAGCAAACATTTCGCTGTCCTGGACACCATTGCAGGATTGAAGAAGTTAGTGGGAAGTACTTTGTGTATTGTGTGTTCTCATACTGGGAAATTAGGTATATCCAGACGTACCCAGCCTTTAAATCACAAAAGAGCATTGAGTTGGCAACTGATGTTTGTCACTTTTCCTGTTTATTCCCAGCCACTTGTCTCACTTTATTTTGTGTGTTCAGCTTTTGTTGGTTTGCTATTTTGTTTTCACTGATGTAGGGTTTTATATTGTTTAGAATTTTCAGTATTTTTTTTCTTGTTGTAGTTATAATTGTTTGGGTTTACTCTGTGTGTGTGTGTGTGTGTGTGTGTGTGTGTGTGAGAGAGAGAGAGAGAGAGATTCTCTGAGTCATTTGTTTTCGTATTTTTTAAATTTTCTTTATATGTTTTGGGGATTCTTTTGCTTGAGTTTGCTTTTATTCTTTTTATTGTTGATTTTACTTGTTGTTTGCTTGTTTGTGAGTATTTTCTTTAGGGTTTTGCTCAGCAGTGAGTCTCAGATATTCTGGAAATCTATAAAACTGTTAAAATGAGTACTTTGAGGTTACTAAAAGAGAGGATGGAGAAAAAGAAGAAGGAAGGACATTTGGGCTTGGGATGGTTGAAGCAGAGTAATATTTTTGCATGTTTTTGCCATTATTTTCCTGTGAAGAGTTTTTTTAAAATCAGCTTTTGGAAGTACAACTTACATACGGCAAAGTTCATCATAATTATTTGTACGATTTAATGAGCTTTTACAAACATATTTAATAATGTAGCTGACACTTCAATATTTCTGCCACCCCCCCAAATTCCTTTACGTCCATTTGCATTCAATTGCCTTCCCTCACCTTTAGACCTTAGAAACCACTGATCTGCATTCTACCCATATAGTTTTCTTTCCAATAACTTCAGACAAGTGAAATCATATAGAATGTAGTCTTTTTATATTTGGCTTTCACATAGCATAATGTACTTGATATTCATGAAGTTCTGTGGGCTTCTTGTTATTACTATATAGTATTCCATTATATGGATGTATCACAAGTGTTGTTTATCTATTCACCAGGTGAAGGATACTTGCATTGCTTCCAATGTGTAGCAATCAAAAATTTAACTGTTATTAACATTTGAGTACATTGAGTTTTTTTTGTGTGTGAACACACATTTTTATTTCTCTATGGTAAATAAATACCTGGGAGTGGGATTGCTGTGCCTTACATAGATGTATGTTGAATTTTATTAGAAGCTGTCAGACATTCAAAGTGGCTGTACTATTTCACACTCTGGAAATATGTGATATCTCTAGCTAATCCACAACCAACATTTTCACTGTATTTTTGTGGGTCTATATCTGGACTCCTTATTCTGTTCCATTAATCTCTTTCTCTCTCTCCTTTTGCCAATACCACATTGTCTTGATTACTATAGCTAAGTCTTGAATCAAAATATTAGTCCATCTTTGTCCCTATTTTTTTTTTGAGATGGAGTCTCGCACTCTCGCCCAGGCTGCTGGAGTGCAGTGGCGCAATCTCGGCTCACTGCAAGGTCCGCCTCCCGGGTTCACGCCATTCTCCTGCCTCAGCCTCCCGAGGAACTGGGACTGCAGGCGCCCACCACTACGCCCGGCTAATTAATTTTTTATATTTTTAGTAGAGATGGGGTTTTACTGTGTTAGCCAGGATGGTCTCGATCTCCTAACCTTGTGATCTGCCCGCCTCGGCCTCCCAAAGTGCTGGGATTACAGGCGTGAGCCACCGCGCCCGGCCTTGTACCTATTTCTTAAATTGATTAGGCTATTCTTATTTTTTTGTCTTTCCATAAACATTTTAGGGTGTTCTTGCCACAAAAAGCCAACTGTGTGAGATATTATAAATTGTTTGCATGTGGTAATCATTTTACTTTATATATATCTATACCAAAACATTTTAATTATACCTTAAACTTACATAATAAAAATATAAATTTTCGAATAAAGTTGTTGATATTTACAAACATTTCTAGTTAGAATTTGATTAACATTGTGCTGAATCTCTGGATCCCCATGGGAAGATTTGATATATTACAACACTGTTTCTTCCAATCCATAAGCACAGTATATTTCTCCACTTATTTACAGCTAACTATGTAATTTTTGTTCTAGATTAAATGGTATTATTTAAAAATTATTACAATTGTTCATTGCTAATATGTACAAATAATATTTACAGTTTATTTTCCATCTCTCAGGAATTACTGTCCTTCACTGCCTGATTTCTGGTAAAGTCTTATAAACTGTTGTTCCCTATATTTTGTCAGTTTTTTAATTGGTTCAGGTCTGAGGATAATTAGTTTCCTATAACCCCATTTTGGCTGTAAATGCACAACAAATACACATGGATGGTAGCACTGAGACTGGGTGGTGTTTATTAGCATGCGGAGAGCTGCTTTCTTTGGAGCCTAGGCACCCTTCCTCCACTTCAATACTGGTCGGTCTATCTCAAAAAACTTTCTTAAGTGCCTTCTAAGATGCAAAACATCAAGACTAAGATCCCATAGTTGAAGCCTCCAAAGTAGGTGATTTGGTGATTTACATTTCTTTCTTCAAAAATGGCCTGACCAAATAGAAATAAGACTTGTTAAGGCGAGGTGCGGTGGCCCACGCCTATAATCCCAGTACTTTGGGAGGCCAAGGTGGGTGGATCACCTGAGGTCAGGAGTTCGAGACCAGCCTGGCCAACATGGTGAAACCCTGTCTCTACTAAAAATACAGACATTAGCTGGGCGTAGTGGTGGGCTCCTGTAATCCCAGCTACTTGGGAGGCTGAGGTGGGAGGATCGCTTGAACCCAGGAGGTTGAGGTTGCAGTGAGCTGAGATCACGCCACTGCACTCCAGCCTGGGTGACAGGAGTGAAACTCCGTCTCAAAAAAAAAAAAAAAACTTGTTAAGAGGGCCAGTCATGATGGGTCATGCCTGTAAGCCCAGTGCTTTGGGAAGCTGAGGCTAGAGGATCACTTGAGGCCAGGAGTTTGTGACCAGCGTGGGCAACATAGTGATACCCCACCTCTACAGAAAAAAAAAAAAATAAATAAATAAAAATTAGCCAGTCATGGCAGACATGTCTGTAGTCCCAGCTACTTGGTAGGCTAAGATGAGAGGATCGCTTGAGCCGAGGAGTTTGAGTCTGCAGTGAGCTATGATCATGCCACTCACTCCATCCTGGGTGACAGAGCAAGACCCTGTCCCTTAAAAAAGAAAAAGAAAAAGAAAAAAAGACTTGCTAGGAGAACATAGCTCCCCTGTTTGTTTTATCACTGTTTGTCTTCTCTGTAGAACCCAATTTTCTCTTTCCCCCCAAACTCTTAACCATTGGTCACCTGACAGTTCCTTTCACTCTTTTCAAAACTTTCCTTTCTTTCTAAATTTTCTCCAGCTGCTCAGCTTCCTCCATATGTACACCAAAACTCTGAATTATTTCATGTAGCCTAATATCCTCTGGATTCATTCATGTAGTTGCAAATGGTAGAACTGACTTGTTTACTAAGGCTGAATAATATTTAATTTGTATGTATGTACCACATTTTCTTTATCTGCTCATCTGTTGTTGATGGAAATTTGGGTTGCTTTTATATTTTGCCTATTGTTAATGATGCTGTAATAAATATAAGAATGCAAACATCTCTTCAAGATTCTGATTTTAATTATTTTGGATATATACCTAGGAGCCGGATTGTTGGTTGGTTGGTATAGTTGTGCTGTTTTTAATTTTTTGAAGAACTTCCATAGTGTTTTTAAAAATGACTATACTAATTTACATTACCACCAACAGTGTACAAGGGATATGGTTAGGCTTTGTGTCCCCACCCAAATATCATCTTGAATTATAATCCCCATAATCCCACTATGTCAGTCAAGGGAGAGACCAGGAAGGGGTAATTTAATCATGGGGGTGGTTTCCCCCATGCTGTTCTCATGATAGTTCTCACGAGATCTGCTGGTGTTATAAGTGTTTGGTAGTTCCTCGTGCATTCATTCTCCTTCTTGCCGTCTTGTGAAGAACGTGCCTTGCTTCCCCTTCCCCTTCCACCATAATTGTGGAAGGCAAAGTGGAAACAGCCTCCCCAGCCATGCGGACCTGTTAGTCAATTAAACCTCTTTCTTTTATACATTACCTAGTTCGGGCAGTTCTTTATAGCAGTATGAAAATGGACTAACACAACAAGGATTACTTTTTCTCCACACCCACCAACATTTATCTTTTTTGAATTACAGCCATTTTAACAGGTGCAGTATGATTCGTCATTATGGTTTTGATTTGCATTCCCTAATGATTCCTAATACTGAGTATGTTTGTTTTCATATACCTGTTGGACATTTGTGTGTCTTTTTTGGAGAAATTTCTATTCACGTACCTTGTCCATTTTTGAATCAACTTATTAAGCCAGTCACAGATGGACAAGTACTGTATGATTCCACTTATATGAGGCATCTGAAACAGTCAAGCACATAGAAATAGAGAATAGAATGGTGGTTGCCAGACACTGGGAGAAGAGGGAAATGAGTAATTGTTTTTCAGTGGATATAGAGTTTTGCTTATGCAAGATAAAAAAAGTTATAGAAATCTGCTGTATAACACAGGACCTATAATTAATTATATTGTATTGTGTTCTTAAAATTATGTTAAGGTGTAGATCTCATGTTACATTCTTACCACAGAAAAACAAAATCAAAATCAAAGGGTCAGAAGGAAACTTTTGGAGATGATGAATGTATCTATCTATTACCTTGATTGTAGTGATGGTTTCATTGGTGTGTCCAAACTTATCAACTGTATATATTAAATATATACAGTTTTCAATCTATCAGTGATACTGCAATAAAGTTGTTGTTTTAAAAATTCTATTGAATCTCTGGGTTGAAGCCACTTCTTTCTTCATAGACCTACGAGTGTTCAGTTCCTTTGGATATACTTTGGATCTTATATGATATTACCAAATAATTCAATTTTCCCAAAACGGTTATTCTTTTCTGACACTTGTACTTTTGTTACTTTTTCCCTCAGGTTTATATGTGAAAAGAATAATGTCAAGGTGGGATCAGTCCTTAGAGAGTCTTATAATGATGAAGTGCTAAGTGAGTTTTTGTATCACATTTTCTGTTTGATGTCTCCACTTAACCTCGTGGATGGGACAGAAAGGAGAAGAGAGAGAGAGAGAGGGAGAGAGAGAGAGAGAGAGAGAGAGAGAGAGAGAGAGAGAGAGAGAGTGAGAGAGTACAAAGAGCACAAAAGAGAGCTGTAAGCTTTAAGTCTCAGAGGCCTGGTGACCATAAGCAAGATAGGAACCTTGTCTGGGAATCGGGTTATATATTTTACCTTCCTGTGTTAGGAAATGGGGCTTTCTGATGCATCTCTTCTTTTAATCCACACCAGGCGGTTTACTTCATAACTTCTTTTAAAGGAAATTTGTTGCCCACCTTAAATGGGAATTTAGGTTAATATCAAGAAGAGGAAGTATCTTCTATTTTATCTACTAGTGTTGCTAACACTGTACAACATGTATCTACTTAGAGTGGTTTTATTTTGCTTCGTGGCCGTATTTTTTTGCTTTATTACTGATTGTTTTAGTTTTGGTATCTGTTTTGGGGGTGGGTTCTTATATTTTCAGAGGTATTTGGAATTATTTGGAGGTTAATTTTTTTTTAATTGTAAAATGTATATAAACATAAAATTTACCATTTTAATCATTTTAAGTGTAAAATTCAGTGGAATTAAGTAAATCCACAGTGGTGTGCAATGATCACCACAATCCATCTCCAGAAATGATTCATTATCCCAAACTAAACCTCTGTAACCATTAAACACTGACTCCCCATTCCCAGCTCTTGGTAACCTCTATTCTACTTTCTGTCTCTCCTAGTTTGCCTATTCCAGGGACTGAATAGAATAAAATCATACAGTAGTATTCCTTTGTGACTGCTTTATTTTACCCAGCATATTGTCTTCAAGGTTAATCCATGTTATAGCATGTGTCAGAATTTTATTTCTAAGCTGGACATGTATGCACATGACTGTAGTCCCAGCTACTCAAGAGGCTGAGGCAGGAAGATCGCTTGAGTCCAAGAGTTAGATTCTAGCCTGAACAACATAAGGAAACCCAGTTTAAAAAGAAAATTATTTCCTTTTGTAGGGCAAATAACATTTCCTTGTATGCATATACCACAGTTTGCATATCACTTTATCTGTTGATGAACACTTGTATTGCTTCTACCTTTTGTCTATTATAAATAATGCTGCTTTGAACATGGGGGCACTATGTCCCTTTGAAATACTGATTTCAGTTCTTTTGGGTATATACCCAATACTGCAATTGCTGAAATATGGTAATTATATCTTTAATTTTTTGAAGAACCACCATAGTGTTTTCTGTGGTGACTGTGCCATTTTACTTTCCTACCAGCAATGCACGGGGTTATAATTTCTTCACTTGTCAACACTTGTTATTTTCTGTTTGTTTGCTTGTTGATAATATTGATTCTAATGGGTGTGAAGTCGTATCACATTGTGGTTTTGGTTGCATTTCCCTAATTAGTGATATTGAGCATTGTTTCACTTATTTATGAGGTAGAATTGATTTTAGAAATATTTTTGTTTGAGTTTTGATTTATTGGTGTGTAGCTGTAGACTTGGGTCATTTTGGACTACTGACACTGGTGGAGGTTCCTGAATGCTGGGAGACCTGGACATGTCCAGATTAAATGTCCCACACCATAATCTCCCTTTCTCTTGCTCCATGGCAAGTAATTTAGCTAATCCTTTAATTTATTCAGTGCACCTCCCTCTCTCTTTACAGTCTTTTGTTTAACTTGGCTCCCTAGCTCTTAAAATATAACTAGTTTGGGGTCTGTGGATCTCTTACTCCTACTTGCTTCCCCCTTTCTTCAGCCTCAGTATTGAAAGGAAAAAATAGATTCCTGGGAGGCCTGTGTCTCCAAATGAAAATTTTGAAAGAGACCCTCTTGACAAGAACTCTAGGAAATGTTGAGAAAGTCCAGGGCTGAGAAGGAAGAATAAGATATAACTAGGTTCTAAGCCAATTGCTCTCTTGGAAATGATTCCAGGCAAGGTAAATGATCTGTATAATCCCCAGGAATGGTGGAGAAAATGAGATTTTTGTCCTATGAATCCTGGCACTGCCTAAATGATCTATCTCTTTTGCTTGAATTCTCTGCATGTTTACCTTGTTCTCTCTGTTGTTTTGGTGTTAAAAGTTAAATAACTCTGAACCAAGGGACTAGGAATTTGGGGGCACAGAGGGTGGGGAGACCTTTAACACTGGTGGAACACAAATCATTTTTAATATGCCATTCCTAATGACTTGAAAATACATAGGAAAATGTTGGTGAGATTATTTGTTGCCGACTGAAGAGAAGAAGTCCTCAAAATCAGCACATGAAATATGCAGCAAGTAAGAGTATCCTCACTAAAGGATGGTTAGAGAATGGGAATGGAGTGGCAAACATACTAGAAATTCTTCATCGTATCTAAACTTCACGTATATATTTGGGTAGAGCCACCACCTTCAGCTGAGTGTAGTGCCCTACTCCAGAGGGCGTCACTCATGTAAACTAAAACATGATTGTAGCCTTTTGGAGTAGAGTAATACACATCACGTAACGCATATTTGGTGGCCATGGGTGTGAGTGTATACAGCCGCATGCACAGAGCTGCCCTCCCTTGTGTCCAAGCACCACCCTCCCCTTGCTGGGCTAACTCAATGGACTCCCATAGGCAGGTCTTGAAAGGCAAATCCTAGGGACTGAGGGCTCCCAGGAAAAATCACCCATGTAGGCTTTCCGGGGATTTATATACCCTTGTCCAAAGGAGGCATGCCCACACAGGTAAGAAAATTTGTAGTGAGGATGTGGCTTTTCCTCTTTTTATATTCAGAGCTTCTACTGCTACAGAGCCCAACTATTCATTTTGCCTTGAAAAACCTCCAACGTATTTTTCCTCACAACATTTCTTTTAGCTTCCAAGCCTTTTCATTTCCCAGTGGGCTCTTCAAATTCCCTCCTGCCTCAGAAGCATCCCTCTGCACCAAAAAGCTCTTGCTCTTTCAGGATTGAAGACAAGCCTTTCCTTAAGAGTTTGTGTGTTCTTCCTTACTTGGAAAAATACATTATTTCCAAAATTATCTATCTGTTGGTTAAAAAAAAAATATATATATATATAAAATATTTATGTATATATTTTTAAAAAATATTTATATGTATATTTTAAAAAATATTTATTGAAAATATGTGTATATCAGTCCTTTCTAAATTCAACATATCTATAAAAGGTTAAGAAGTTGCCTAGAATATTTGTTTTGTTAGTTTTCTTTGAATTATATTTAACATTTTATTTTTAAAATTATATGAAGGAATAAAAAGAAGTGAAGGTATTCATCTCAGATTATTGAGAATGATAACATATATATTTGTCTTTTCCCTTCCACTTCCCTTCAGTTGCTCCTTCTTAACCTAAGGTCTTCAGAAAGAAAACTTGAGAATCACAGACAAAAGATGGCCAGCGCCGGATCCCTGGAGAACATCTTCAGACTGGAGCAGTGACTAGGAAGCAGGTTGTACACACTACGGTGCTGGAAAAATGGAGGTGGAGTGGGGTTGGAGGGTAATCATCCTGGTGACCCCTTCCGGATTAATTCTCATAAAGCACCTTAAGTGGGCAAGTTGAAGTTTATGGAATTTTGTTGTCATCTCGAGTCAGTGACATGTCTCACTCCGTTCCAAATCTTGGCAAAAATTTAGATTGTAATCAAGAGGAAGGGTATTCTTCTCTTATATCACTAATACTACTACATTATCGCCTGTGTACAACCAGTGTCTACTGCTCATGGTATCTTCTTCCCTATTTCATGAGCTCTAAGAGTTTTCCTGGGCAGAAAGTCTCACCACCCTAGATGTGTGTCTGGGGCAGTGACAGTGGCACCACTGCAAATTGTTCTCAAATTTGTGCTTATTTTTGAGAAGGTGTGAGTTTGTGTGTGAGTATGTGTGTGTTGGTTTTTACAAATGAGTTAATTTAGTTAGTTGATTCGTTCATGTGCATATTGTGGTTGGGTTTGGGGGGACTTTTCAAATTGTTTTTGCTTAGTAATATTGTTTATCCAGACATTGGTAACTGTCTGATTTTGGTTTTGTTTTTGTTTTTTGTGATATTATTTTGTTTATAATTGTCCTTTCATTTCCAGTCTCTGTGCATTTATTTTTCAAAGTTGGTTCTTCCTTTTTAGGTTTATTTGTTTATTTTGTTTGCTTGTATTATTATTTTTAACTGACACATAATCATTGTACATATTTTGGGGGTACAGTGTGATTTTTTATTGTTTGCAATTCAGTGTTCATGGCACCTCTGCTTGTTGTTTCGTTGCATACTTGAAGTTTTTTTTTTTTTTTAAGTTAGAATTGTGGTTTGTGTTTCAGCAAATGTTTTATTCCTGTTTCGGGGGGAGGGGGCTGTCATGATTTAATTATTAGTTGTTGGTTCCAATCTGAGTTTTCTTCTTTGGTTTTGATTTGGTTTTAATTTATGCGTTTGGTTTGATTTGTACTGAGAGGTGCTTGGGAGTTGTTTTAGTTGTAGTTTCCTTTGTGTATTTAGACATGTTTGTTTCTTTCCTGCTGTTTTGCTATATCTTTCTTTGTTTTATTCTCTAGTGTATTTCTATTTGCTTTTCAGCTGACTTTTTGTGTGTATATGTGAGTGGGTGGGTGGGTGGATGGATGTGGGTGTGTATGCGTGCATTTCTGTGATTATTTTTGAATGATGTTGACTTCTTTAAAGTATTTTGTTATTTTCCATGTATTTTTAGTTTCAGTTTGTGTTTATTGTTTTATTTTGTGTGTGTGTGTGGGGGGGGGGGGTTCTTCATTTTCCTTGTGTTTTGGGATATTTAAATTTGTATGAATTTTGTTTTGTTGCTGTAGTTATTTTTTCCCCTTTAATTGTGTGGGGCTCAGAAAGTTTTGTCTTTCATATATATGTGCGCTTTATTGGGGATGTGTTTTTTTTTTTAAGTTGTGGGAGTTTGCTTGGATTTTAAATGTTTTGCCTCAGTATCTGTGTGTATGCTTACATGGTTTGGTATTTGCAACATGCTTTCTAATTGATAAGTTCATGTATTGATTCTGTTTGGAATTTGTTGTAGTTGATTTATTTATTTATTTTAATCCTGTTTGTTGAGCTTTTCTAATTTGGGATGATTGTTGATAGGGGTTTAAAAATATATTATTGGTTTACTTTTTAGTTTTTATTTATTTGTGCCCTGTTTTTCTGATTCATTACTTTTTAAAAAATCATTTATAGAAGTTTTGGTACATAAGGCTAAAATTTCTTTCTTTTGTTAGGGATAATTTGCATTATTTGTTGATTGATTTTTTTTTTTTAGCTTATATGGTTTTTTTGAATTGTGTGTATGAGCATGTGTTTGTTATTTTGAGATTTTTGTATTGTGATAGCTTTAGTTCTTAAAAAGCGTCGTTGATACATGACTGACATAAAGTTTGCGCTTTGACATATTCTGTTTATACACCCATGAAATCATCCCCTAAATCAAAATAAATAGGGAATATTATACATCCTCCCTGAAAGATTCCTCCTGCCTCTTTGTGATCCTCATTTTCGGTCTTCTGCACATAACCACAGAGCCATGCAGCCACTAATCTGCTTTTATTCACTATGGATTAGATTTTATTTTCCAGATTCTTATTTTTTATTTTTTGAGATGGAGTCTCTCTCTGTCACTCAGGCTGGAGTGTAGTGGCGTGATTTCGGCTCACTGTAAATTCTGCATCCCAGGTTCAAGCAATTCTCCTACCTCAGCCTCCCGAGTACCTGGGACTACAGGCGCACACCACCATGCTGAGCTAATTTTTGTATTCTTAGTAGAGACGAGATTTCACCATGTTGGCCAGGCTGGTCTCAAACTCCTGACCTCAACTGAACCTCCCACCTCAGCCTCCCAAAGCGCTGGAATTACAGGCATGAACCACGGTGCCTGGCCAAAATTTTTTATTAAAATGGAATCATACTGTATATACTGTTTATTTTGGCCTAGCTTATTTCTCCTGGCATAATTATTTTGAAATTCGTCCACATTGTTATTTGCATCAATAATTTATTTGTTTTTATGGATGAGTAGTATTCCACTGTATGGATATTCCAGTTTTTTTTAAATGCATTCACCTGTTAATGGCCATTTGTCTCCAGTTTATAGCTATTTTGGCTTTGACTACTAGAAAAGACGTAGCTATGAACCTTGATATAAAAATATCTGTATGGAGAGGCAGAAGGAGAGAAGGAGAAAGAGAGGGGAGGGGAAGAGGAGAAAGGGGAGAAGGGAGAGGGTGGAAGAGGGAGAGAGAAGGAGAAGGGGAGGGAGGGGGAGGAGAAAGTAGAGGGGGAGGGAGAACCAATTCCTGGAGCCCACAGGAAGCACGACCTGGGAAGCAAGGTGTAAATGTTACATGTCCATATCAGAGGATGGGATAGAATTTGATAGTCTGCTGCTACATTATCTCCCAGGAAAGCTCTTTCAAATCATGTCTTTCTTGGTGTCTAGTTGGCAACTGATGATGTGTGTGGATTTTGTTTTTGCAGTGGCCAAATACCTCACTTCACCCAAAGTCATGAGGAAATACAGGCTGTAGTGAAGAGGTGGGAAACTGTTCTACTTTGTTTTCTATCATTGTTTATTATGATACCTCATCTGTTTACTTCTCAGTGTCCACTGCTCTCCTTCCTACACTCGCAGCATTTCTCAGTGCAGTGTCGTCTATCCCTGATACGTGCTAGATTTCCTTTGAACTTCGTTCTCTGTTTTGTTTGGGATTATTGGAAAGTAAAGTTACATTTTAGTGTATTTGTTTTTATGTTTTGGGGGTTTTTGTATTGTGTATGTTCTTTTTGATTTTTGTTATTGTATTGCTTGTTTGCTTTTTTAGGGTTTTTGTTTCCTGTAGAATTTTGTATATTTGGATGTGTTTTGTATATTTTGTGTGTTTTTTTTTATTCCGATTTTGAATGGTGTTTTTAAATGTGTGTTAATTAGAATTTTCAGTAGTATTTTTACATTCTTAAAAATTGTTACTCCCGGCTGGGCACGGTGGCTCATGCCTGTAATCCCAGCACTTTGGGAGGCCGAGGCCAGTGGATCTCCTGAGGCCAGGAGTTCAAGACCAGCCTGGTCAACACGGTGAAACCCTGCTTCTACAGAAAATACAGAAAATTAGCTGGGTCTGGTGGCACATGCCTGTAATCCCAGCTACGTGGGAGGCTGAGGCAGGAGAATCGCTTGAACCCAGGAGGCGGAGGTTGCAGTGAGCTGAGATTGTGCCATTGCCCTCCAGCCTGGGCAACAAAAGCAAAACTCTGTCTCAAAAAAAAAATTGTTACTCCTTTATTGTTTTTTTAGTTGACACATAATAATTTGTAAATATTGATGAGATATAGTGAGATGTTTTGATACATACATGCATTGTGTAATAATCAAATCAGGGATTTAGTATTTTCATTACCTCAAACGTCCATCACTTCTTTGTGGGAAGAACATTCAAAACCCTCTCTTCTAGTGATTTTGGAATATACCATAAAATATTGTTAACTAACTATAATCAATCACTCTTCTGCACAATAACACATCAGAACTTTTAGCCCTCCTAACTGTGACTCTGTACCCATAAACCAATTTTTCCCCAACCCCCCTTTCCCTTCCCTTCCCCAGACTCTGGTAACCATCATTCTACTCTCTACTCCTATGAGATCAACTTTCTTAGACTCTGCGTATGAGTCAGATCATGCAGTGTTTGTCTTTGTGTTTGCATTGCCCTATTTTGTGAGCATTCGTTTTGGGGTTGTTTGTTTCATTGTTCACATGTTTATTTGCATGTGTGGCATGCATGTGTTCACATGTGTTGCAGATATTTCTTGGTCTAAACACTGGTTTGCAAGTGCATGACTGTGGTGACTACTGCTTCTGCTGCTGTAGGCCTTCATCTCTGAACAGAGGATGCCAAACCAAGGCCCCAATGATATAAAGAAGATTCAAATTGGAAAGAAGAGAACTCTCCAGCACTGCTTCAACTGAGCTCTATCTGGCCTGCAATCGCTAGATATGATGAGTCACTTGAGTGGTCCTTTCTATGTAATGACTGGCTTTTGAGGCATATGAAGTAGTTGTTCATGTGCCAACTATATTAAATTGAAAATTAGCAGAACAATTTAGTGAAGTATGCTAAGTCTGGGAGGAAGAGGGAAAATTTTCTCTCTCCTAAAATCTGTCTCATTAAATGTGCAGCAGGTGAAGTAATTAATAAGCATTCAGTGAAAGACATAGGAGACAAAAGGGAGAGGAAAAAGGGTTTGTTTTTTTTTTAATCTATTGACTATATTCTGCTTATTCCTAGTGGACTGAGAGTGTTGGGATTCTGACTGAAATGGCGGAGTGAGGGACATTTTCCGCTGTGCTGTGTGTAGTGCTTCACTTCAAGAAGTGCCATGCATGTGTCTAGAAATATGTTTTGCACCTTTTGGAGTGAAATAATGCACAACAGATACAAGTCAGAACTACCCACTCAGTGATGGGTCAACTCATACAACCCTTTAAAGAGAATTCTGTGGGGTAAAACCTAGAGGATGAGGTTCTCTGGGAATAGCCTCATCTGTAGTTTCCCCGTGTTACTATTAAGATGGTCAGTGCCACCACCATCAGCCATACTATGTGTAGTGCCTTATTCAGGAAGGTGTTACTTAATAGATTAATATTTGTAAGGCACCCTTCTGAGTAGAGTAATGTGCAACATGGACAACATTTGTGGTGGCATTGGTAATGACGAGTGGAATTTCAGTGACAATACTGCCCTCCCTTGAGCCTTGGTACCCAACCTTTAGTGATGAGCCATTTCCAGGTACTCTCTGAAGTACCTCTTGAGAGATCTGCTCCAGAATCTGAGGGTGCCTGGGAAAAGTCTCTCATGTAGGTTTTTCAATTATTTATTGCTTTTTCTCCACAAAATGACTGACTACACTGGAAACAAGATTTGAGGTAGGAACATGATACTTCTTTTTCTCTTGTACCTCTTAGTCTTTTCTCTCTATAACAACCCAAATACACTTCTTGCCTTATAAACCCCTGAGAAGTTTACACTGATCTTCTTTCCTCACAATATTTAAGCCTTCTTTTTAGGGAGCACAAATATCCTCCTGCCCTTCCCTGCTGAACTCCAAACTCCATGAACCATCTTTCTTATGAAGTGATCTCCTCAAGGCTTAGATACACTCAAATTCCCTTTAATATTCCTGTGTATCCGTGATGATAATCTCATATCAGTGGAGTTTGATATGATACCCCAAATTTGCTTTCATTTGAACTATTTATATGTTTTTAGCTGGTCTTAACTATTATGGGAACGGATGAAGTGATGAGAACATATATGTATGAACATGTGTGTACATATACTTCTGGAAACTTTACATATACAAAGGGGTTTATATATCCCTTTATATATATATATATATATATATATATATATATATATACACACACACACACACACACACACACATACATATGACATTCACAGAAAAAGGAAAAGGATGCAGAAAAAGGATCATGTTCCTACCTCAAATCTTGTTCCCAGTGTTTTGTAGTCCTTTTGTGGAGAAAAAGGAATAAATGCTTAAAAAACCTACAGGACATACTTTTCACAGGTACCCCAGGCACCCTCAGATTCTGGATCAGGTCTTATAAGACCTTCAAAGAAACACCCAGGACAATGATTGAGCAAATATATATGTATATAATTATTATAGAAGTCTATTTTTAAAATAAATCCCTTAAGATATTTATTATAAGGATACTGCAAGGAATAACCTCAGGCAACTATGGAGGCTGGTGAGTTCCTAGATCTGCAGGGGGATGGGTCAGCAAGCTGGGGACCCAGGAGAACTGATGGTATAGTTGCAGTCCAAGTCCAGAGGCCAAAGAAGCAGTAGAACAAACCATTTTGTAGTTCCAGTCCAAAGGCCAGCAGGTTTGAGACCCAGGAAGAGCTAATGTTTTAATTTGAGTACAATGCCAGAAAAAAATGAGATGCCCCAGTTTGGAGGCAGTCAGGCAGGAGGAATTCTCTCTAACTTAGGGGAGAGTCAGCCTTTTTGTTCCATTTAAACCTTCATCTGATTGGTGCAGGCCCATCCATCCACATTAGGGAGGGTGGTCTGCTTTACTCATTCTACTGATTTAAATGCTAATGTCATCCAAAAAGACCTTCACAGAAACACCCAGAATAATGACTGACCAAATGTCTGGGCACTCCATGACCCAGTCAGGTTGAAATATAGAATTAATCATCACAAGTTCACTCCTTGTCATGTTGTCACTTATACGCATCTCCTTAAATTATATTTAATCATCAAATGAGAAAAATACCAAGGTCATAATTTCATTTAATAAGATACAACTACCATTTATACAACCCAGAATTCATGAACCACTTCACCAGAAGAGGAGATAAAGTCCTGGAGTGTTGTTTGTTTACTCTTCTCCTTGGTGTTCCATAACATCAATACTATGATTATTTAAAGTTAACAACGGTTAATAACTATGATATAATATCAGTACACCTTACGTTACATGATAAGGGGATAAGAGAGACAAGAAAACACAGAAGTATATTAATAAAAATATAAGTAGAAAATACTCATGGGAACTACAATTCTCATTTCTGTAACTGTCATCTGGTGTTAGCTGGTATTTACAACTACTTTTCTTCACTACCCATTTTGTATTCCCTTTGCCTTCAGCAAGCACCTCAGCCATTATATTTTACCTGGTAGAGTGACCCAAACTTTCATTTCTGAAGGGTCTGGGCCATTAGTAGTCCTGCCAGGATTGGGTTGTTGTAGTTTTCTACTGACCTTAATCACAAGGCATAGTAATACTAAGAGACATCTTATGTATTTCAGAAATATTCTTCCTTACCTCCATTGTGGAGTAGTACTCCAATTTTCCCTTGGTAGTCAGAATCACCTGCTCCAGGCCACACAGTAACTCCCTTCTCTGACCTCTTAAAAAATTAGGAAATATTGTATTGACTTTTCTCTTTCCGTGTTTTCAAGATATCTCTTCTTAAACTATGGCTGTTACGAGAGAAAGAGAAAGAGAAAGAGAAAGACAATCAAGCAGAGCCAGACTGAAAGAGACAGACAGACACGACTGGAGCAGTGAGTCTTTTACACTTCTGTGCTGAAAAATGTGAGAGAGCTTGATGCCTCCTTTCAGGTAAACCCTATCAAATTATAGTCAAGTGTTGGCAAATATGGGTTGTGTAATTTGAGTTTGTTTCCCATCTCCAAACAACCACATGCCCCTCCCCAACTCAAGAACTTGATGGGAAATGTAGGTTACAATGAAATAGAAGAAAACTACTCTACTTTCTTTCCTAATAGTATTACCATTCAACTACATGTGGCTACCCTTCATCGTATCTATTTCCATCCTTCTTGCACTCATAGGATTTCCTTGGGCTTTGAGGCTCAGATACCCTGATATATTTGTTGGTGATTGTGAGTTTTTAGCATGTGTTCTAGCACATTTGTTTGTGTTTATATGGTGATGGGGGGAGTAATACATGTATCTGTGTGCACTTTGGTGTATGTGCCCATACATTTGTGTGTGCACGGGGCATGTAGCATGAGGATTTTGTTATGTTGTTTTTGTTTGAGGTTGGATCTCTGTTTTGTTTTTGTTTTGCTTTTGCTATTCTTATCAGTTTATTTCATGTGTATGGTTTTGCTTTGTTTGTTTGACTTTGGCTCCTTTGGGATTATATGTGTTTGTTTGAATTTGTTTTCAGATTTGCCATGCTCTTGGTCATTGGTGTTTTGATTGGTATTTCTTTACGTACATTGCTTGCAATTTTGTATTTTCTTTTTGTTGTTATTTGGATTTCACTGTGTGATTTCGGTTATATTTTAATTTGCATATTAATTTGCACATATGTTGTTGGAACTTTGCATTGTGTATTGCTAGGGTTCTTTCGATGGCTTATCAATTCTGTTTATGGTTAGTTTTTTTGTATTCATATTTTGTTGTATTCTCATTCTTTTTAATATTGTTTACTTGGGCGTATATGTGTCTGTGTATGTGGTTTCATGGAGCAGTGGGTCTTAGAATCTCCTGCTATGATGTGCCAGGTTGCTGGAAAGACTCCTTTGAAGCTACTGAGGGGTGGGTGATGCAGAGGAAGAGAAGTAGTACCTGTACTGGTGTTTGAAGGAGGGAGTATTGTGTCTGTGTATTTTTTTCCCCTTGAGAACTTTTTGGGGAGATAGCTCAAGGGCCCAAATACTTAAGAGAAAAGCTAAATTGATTGATTGATTGATTGATATATATAAATATTTCTGTAGAATCTAACTTTGGTTGCTTTTCATGGAATTCAAAAAATGCAGTAAAATGCTTGAGATATTTAGAATCATTCTGTTCAGTGAACTATGGCTCCTTGACCGTGACTCAGCACTAACACTGAGCTATGTGCTTCTCTGTCTGTCTTTCAGGGGTTATGTTTAGTAGATGAATGAGAATGGTACATAGAAACACTCGGTCTTGACGATCATGTGGTCTGACTTCTACATGCTATCAAGGGCCAGAGCTAGAAGAATCCAGGTCTTTTAATTTGCCTCAGCTCATGATTATTTGTGTACATCACACACACACACACACACACACACACACACACACACACACACACATATATATATATATAGTTTTTTTTTGTTTTTTTTTTTTGAGAAAGAGTCTAACTAACTCTGTTGCCCAGGCTGGGGTGCAGTGGCATGATCTCGGCTCACTGCAACCTCCACCTCCCGGGTTCAAGTGATTCAGTGGCATGATCTCGGCTCACTGCAACCTCCACCTCCCGGGTTCAAGTGATTCTCCTGCCTCAGCAGCTGCGGTTACAGTTGCCCACCACCACACCCGGCTAATTTTTTGTATTTGTAGTAGAGATGGAATTTCACCACGTTGTCCAGGCTGGTCTCAAAATCCTGACCTCTGATGATCCACCAGCCTCAGCCTACCAGAGTGATGAGATTATATGTGTGACCCACTGCACCTGGCCTGATATTGAGGATTTTTAATGAGACAAGCAAATTAACGCGAAAACTAATGGGATAATCCAGACAAGGATTACACATCTCTGGGGAAGAGATGAAGTGAAATGTTATATTCTGGCTAAGCCTAAAATTTGTGTGTTAATTAGCCATTCGCGGTGGTATGTGCCTTTAATCCCAGCTACTTGGGAGGCTGAGGCAGGAGAAGTGCTTAGACACAGAAGGGGGAGGTTGCAGTGAGCCGAGATCACACCAATGCATGCCAGTCTGGGCGACAGAGCCAGACTTCATCTGAAAACAAAAACAAAAACAAAACAAAAATCTGCATGTTAAAATCTCACTTGGGGCAGGATGAAAAGGGGAGCGCCGGGGGCTACAAGTTGCATTGTCCCTTGGCATAAATCTTGGTGGCCATGCCAAGGCATACACCTATAGGGACTTGAAAAAAAACGGCATGAATAGGGAGCATTTGTTCTTGGATGCCACATTCAGCCATTCAGTGTGCAGTGCCTTTCACAGGGAGGTGTCATTTATGTGAACTAAAATATAAATTTCACCTTTCTGAGAAGGGTAATGTACAGCATGCACTGCATATGTGGTGTCCCTGAGGATGGGGGTGTAGCTGCGAGCATGGTGATGCCTGTTTTGCATCCTGTGCACCCACTCTTCAGTGCTGGGCTACTTCAGGGAACTTTTTGTGCCTTCTAAATGACTATACATAGGAACTGTGGACTCCTGAGAAAACGCATGCACTTCGGTTCCTTAAGAATTTATCTATTTTTGCCAAATGAGGCTTGGCTCAAATAAGAAATACATTGGATAGAGGCCACAGCCATTCTTCGTCAGCTGGAAGGCTATATTCCAGATTCCTAAACTTTTCTCACTTATCAAGAAGTCATCATTTGCAAGGATTCTCCTTTAGCGCTCCCAAAAGACTCTCCTGCCTCTCAGGTCCCTTCATTGCTGATCCACAGTGTCCATTTTCTGTCAAAGACTAAAACATTTTCTCATAGACTTTTAAAATACCTTTCAAAGCCTTCAGTCACCAATTTATGGAGGGTTAAGCGTAGTCCACCCAAGAATATTTCACCCTTTTCCATTATCTTTTTTCCCTGTTTTTTATGTTTGAACAATGGAAGCGTATGATAGAGTTGTTACTCAAGAGATATCTCCTAGTCTTCTCTCCCCATTTTCTGTCTTTTTTTTTTTTGAGATGGAGTCTTTCTTACTCTTTCACACAGGCTGGAGTGCAGTGGCGCCATCTCAGCTCACTGCAACCTCTGTCTCCCGGGTTCAAGCGATTCTTCTGCCTCAGCCTCCCAAGTAGCTGGGATTACAGGCGTGCGCCAACACACCTGGCTAATTTTTGTATTTTTAGTAGAGACCAGGTTTCACCACGTTGGTCAGACTGGTGTCGAACTGCTGACCTCGTGATCCACCCACCTCACCCTCCCAAATTGCTGGGATTACAGGCGTGAACCACCATGCCCGGCCCCATTTTCTTGTGTTGACACTTCTTAACTCAACCTAATGGAGAGAGAAAGAGGCAAATACGCACGTGCACAAGAGTAAGACAAGTGCCAGATGGTGTGAGGCCATCTGCAGCATGAAACTAGTATGCATTTTTTAGAAGTAGGTTATATATAAATAAGCTACTTATATTGGGGAAATGTGTTTAAAAATGTTATAAATAGTAAGTGATTGATTAATACAATTTTGATTCCAACGGAAATAGAGGTTACAGCATATACACCGAAAGAGAGAAACTATAAAAAAACAATTACTATATGGTTACAGGCAGGATTTTAGTTTATGTTTGTTTTTTTAGGTTCAGAATGGATGAATATGTATAAGACCATTAATGTCTGGAAGTAAAAAAAATCAGTTGAAGTATCTTTTTCAATATTAAAACAATTGTACTAATAGAATATATAGAACTTTTTTCATTGGAGGCGGGGGGACATTCTGAATAATAAAAAAAAATTCTGTCCGTTGGAAATACTGTATGTGTGTAGAAATTTCCAAAGTGATAACTCTTTTTAGCATATAATTTCTAAAACTGTATTAGAGAGAATTCATGTGTACTTAAATAAGTGATATCGTAAAATGAAACAAAGACAGAGAATTTAGTTATATCTCTTTTAGGATTTCTCAAAAAGAGTACTATCTCTTTTAGGATTTCTCAAAAAGAGTACTATATTCACTGGTATTTATGGTTTTTCTTTCAGTGAAATACTTTTTTGTATAAGAATGCTTGTGATTTTTGTACATTGATTTTGTATCCTGAGACTTTGCCGAAGTTGCTTATCAGCTTAAGGAGATTTTGGGCTGAGACAATGGGGTTTTCTAGATATACAGTCATGTCGTCTGCAAACAGGGACAATTTGACTTCCTCTTTTCCTAATTGAATACCCTTTATTTCCTTCTCCTGCCTGGTTGCCCTGGCCAGAACTTCCAACACTATCTTGAATAGGAGTGGTGAGAGAGGGCATCCCTGTCTTGTGCCAGTTTTCAAAGGGAATGCTTCCACTTTTTGCCCATTCAGTATGATATTGGCTGTGGGTTTGTCATAGATAGCTCTTATTATTTTGAAATACGTCCCATCAATACCTAATTTATTGAGAGTTTTTAGCATGAAGGGTTGTTGAATTTTGTCAAAGGCTTTTTCTGCATCTATTGAGATAATCATGTGGTTTTTGTCTTTGGCTCCGTTTATATGCTGGATTACATTTATTGATTTGCGTATATTGAACCAGCCTTGCATCCCAGGGATGAAGCCCACTCGATCATGGTGGATAAGCTTTTTGATGTTCTGCTGGATTCGTTTTGCCAGTATTTTATTGAGGATTTTTGCATCAATGATCATCAAGGATATTGGTCTAAAATTCTCTTTTTTGGTTGTGTCTCTGCCCGGCTTTGGTATCAGAATGATGCTGGCCTCATACAATGAGTTAGGGAGGATTCCCTCTTTTTCTATTGATTGGAATAGTTTCAGAAGGAATGGTACCAGTTCCTCCTTGTACCTCTGGTAGAATTCGGTTGTGAATCCATCTGGTCCTGGACTCTTTTTGGTTGGTAAACTATTGATTATTGCCACAATTTCAGCTCCTGTTAGTTATTGGTCTATTCAGAGATTCAACTTCTTCCTGGTGGTCTATTCAGAGATTCAACTTCTTCCTGGTTTAGTCTCGGGAGAGTGTATGTGTCGAGGAATGTGTCCATTTCTTCTAGATTTTCTAGTTTAGTTTATTTGCGTAGAGGCGTTTGTAGTGTTCTCTGATGGTAGTTTGTATTTCTGTGGGATGGGTGGTGATATCCCCTTTATCATTTTTTTATTGTGTCTATTTGATTCTTGTCTCTTTTTTTCTTTATTAGTCTTGCTAGTGGTCTATCAATTTTGCTGATCCTTTCAAAAAACCAGCTCCTGGATTCATTGATTTTTTGAAGGGTTTTTTGTGTCTCTATTTCCTTCAGTTCTGCTCTGATTTTAGTTATTTCTTGCCTTCTGCTAGCTTTTGAATGTGTTTGCTCTTGCTTTTCTAGTTCTTTTAATTGTGTTGTTAGGGTGTCAATTTTGGATCTTTCCTGCTTTCTCTTGTGGGCATTTAGTGCTATAAATTTCCCTCTACACACTGCTTTGAATGTGTCCCAGAGATTCTGGTATGTTGTGTCTTTGTTCTCGTTGGTTTCAAAGAACATCTTTATTTCTGCCTTCATTTCGTTATGTACCCAGTAGTCATCCAGGAGCAGGTTGTTCAGTTTCCATGTAGTTGAGCGGCTTTGAGTGAGATTCTTAATCCTGAGTTCTAGTTTGATTGCACTGTGGTCCGAGAGATAGTTTGTCATTCTTATACACCAACAACAGACAAACAGAGAGAGAGCCAAATCATGAGTGAACTCCCATTCACAATTGCTTCAAAGAGAATAAAATACCTAGGAATCCAACTTACAAGGGATGTGAAGGACCTCTTCAAGGAGAACTACAAACCACTGCTCAAGGAAATAAAAGAGGATACAAACAAATGGAAGAACATTCCATGCTCATGGGTAGGAAGAATCAATATCGTGAAAATGGCCATACTGCCCAAGGTAATTTACAGATTCAATGCCATCCCCATAAAGCTACCAATGACTTTCTTCACAGAACTGGAAAAAACTACTTTAAAGTTCATATGGAACCAAAAAAGAGCCCGCATCGCCAAGTCAATCCTAAGCCAAAAGAACAAAGCTGGAGGCTTCACACTACCTGACTTCAAACTATACTACAAGGCTACAGTAACCAAAACAGCATGGTACTGGTACCAAAACAGAGATCTAGATCAATGGAACAGAACAGAGCCCTCAGAAATAATGCCGCATATGCCGCATATCTACAACTATCTGATCTTTGACAAACCTGAGAAAAACAAGCAATGGGGAAAGGATTCCCTGTTTAATAAATGGTGCTGGGAAAACTGGCTAGCCATATGTAGAAAGCTGAAACTGGATCCCTTCCTTACACCTTATACAAAAATCAATTCAAGATGGATTAAAGATTTAAACGTTAGACCTAAAACCATAAAAACCCTAGAAGAAAACCTAGGCAATACCATTCAGGACATAGGCATGGGCAAGGACTTCATGTCTAAAACACCAAAAGCAATGGCAACAAAAGCCAAAATTGACAAATGGGATCTAATTAAACTAAAGAGCTTCTGCACAGCAAAAGAAACTACCATCAGAGTGAACAGGCAACCTACTCATCTGACAAAGGGCTAATATCCAGAATCTACAATGAACTCAAACAAATTTACAAGAAAAAAACAAACAACCCCATCAAAAAGTGGGCAAAGGACATGAACAGACACTTCTCAAAAGAAGACATTTATGCAGCCAAAAACACGTGAAAAAATGCTCACCATCACTGGCCATCAGAGAAATGCAAATGAAAACCACAATGAGATACCATCTCACACCAGTTAGAATGGCAATCATTAAAAAGTCAGGAAACAACAGGTGCTGGAGAGGATGTGGAGAAATAGGAACACTTTTACACTGTTGGTGGGACTGTAAACTAGTTCAACCATTGTGGAAGTCAGTGTGGCGATTCCTCAGGGATCTAGAACTAGAAATACCATTTGACCCAGCCATCCCATTACTGGGTATATACCCAAAGGACTATAAATCATGCTGCTATAAAGACACATGCACACGTATGTTTATTGCGGCATTATTCACAATAGCAAAGACTTGGAACCAACCCAAATGTCCAACAATGATAGACTGGATTAAGAGAATGTGGCACATATACACCATGGAATACTATGCAGCCATAAAAAAGGATGAGTTCATGTCCTTTGTAGGGACATGGATGAAATTTGGAAATCATCATTCTCCGTAAACTATCGCAAGAACAAAAAACCAAACACCGCATATTCTCACTCATAGGTGGGAATTGAACAATGAGATCACATGGACACAGGAAGGGGAATATCACACTCTGGGGACTGTGGTGGGGTGGGGGGAGGGATAGCAATGGGAGATATACCTAATGCTAGATGATGAGTTAGTGGGTGCAGCGCACCAGCATGGCACATGTATACATATGTAACTAACCTGCACAATGTGCACATGTACCCTAAAACTTAAAAAGTATAATAAAAAAATAATAACAAAAAAAAGAAATACTTTTTTGTATCATTCATCCGTGTTTCTACCAACTTTGTATATATTTAAGGTGTACAACATGATGTTTGGATATATGTATATATTATACAATGATTAAATCAAGCTAATTAAAACACAACATAAAATATTTAGGTGAAAGTCTAAATACAAATTACAAGATCTCTGTGGTATGCAGAATAACAAACAAACAGTCCCCCTCCAAAAGATGTTTACAGAGTAACCCCTGAACTCAAAAACATCACATTTTGTGGTAGAAAGAAATTTGTAGATATGATTAAATATTTTGAGATTGGGATTATCCTAGATTATCTAGGTGAGCCCAACATAATCACAGGGTTCCTTATAAGTAGAAGGAAGGTGGTTAGAATAAGAGAAACATTGGAAAAGGTATAAAGGCCATGAGCCAAAGAATGGAGGAAGCAAGTAGAATCTTCTAAAGACAATCAAGTAGATTCTCCTCTAGAGCCAACAGAAGGAACAAAGCCCTGCCAATGCCTTCATTTTAGCCGAGGTAAAGCTAATTTATATTATTTCTGACCTTTAGACTCTAACATAATAAATTTGTGTTGTTGTAAACAACTAAATTTGTGGCAATTTCTTACAGTATCAGTAGAAAACCAAAAACATCTGTAAATATACTAAGAGAATCAAATAATTACTAAGTAAGTGGAGAGGAGTATCATATTTATCGATTGAAGGATTCAAATCTATAAATTTACAGAGTTCTATTGCTCTATAGAGTTAATGAAATTCCAGCCAATGTCCTAGAAGGACATTTGTAGACATTAGCATGATGATTCTAAAACTGATATAAAAGCAAATAAACTAGAATATCCAAAACAAACAATCTGAAATATCCAAAACAAACAATCTGAAAGAGAATCACAAAGCTGGAGAATTTACACTTGTAATTTTCAGCTTTACTGTCTAACTAGATTAGCCAATATAGTGTGGTACTGAAGGATGGACAAATTGAATGGAAAGACCAGAAATATCTATGTATGTCACCAATTCATTTTGACTAAGCTGTAAAGTCAATCTAATGAAGAAATGAAATAATAATATTAATATTTACACAACGAGATGCTGGGAAATGTGATATATATATGAAGAATATGAATCTTGATCCATATTTCAAACCATATACAGAAATTAAATTAACACAATCTTAGGCCAAAAGGTCAAACTATCATATTTCATTAAAATAAATGAGAGAAAATATTTTTGGCCATTAAATTATTATCTATGATATCAAAATATAAAAATAAAATTGATTAAAAATAGACTTTTTTAAAAAGTCAAACTTTGTCTTCAAATAAGACCACTGAGATAACAAAAATGCAAACTACAGAATACTAAAAATGCATGTAATTTAATAATATAATAAATAACATATATCAGCATAAATAAGAACATATAATTTAACACTCTTGTGTATACCAAGAATTTTTCTACTTACTTTTTAAAAATTATCTGTTTTTCAATAAAATGTCAGTTCTGTTAGCATGGGTTGAGATGGTTTTGATCTGTGTTGTCCCAACACATGAACAAATCTGGTTTAATGGTTACATATTCATTCTGGACCTTCCTTGCTATACTATAATTGTGTCACATCGTTAATGTGAATATATTAGTTTATCCTCATAATTTATAATAAATTAACATTTATTTTGGTTAGTAGGAACATGGAAAGGCAAGAACTCTAACTGAACAGGCTGAGTATATAGATTTAGGGAACTCAAAAGAGGCAAAATGACTGCCAAAAACAAATTTTACATCTTTCCAAGTTATTCTTATATCAGAATTCTGTCAGAGCAAATTATATTTTTATTGATATCTTTCTGACCATGAGGGTAATTCCTATTTATTGAAGAACAACTTGGAAAACACATACAAGGTATGAAAAGCATGAAAAGCAGTAATGAAATAATAGCATAATACCATTAACATCATAATGTGGATACAGTGTTTGATAAAATTAAGATGTGGATCTTTCCACATATTTATCTGTATTTATACTTATGTTTTAGGTGTGGTCAACAATTTTGTGCTATTTTCCTATAAATGATTTCAAATAATGCATCATGAATATTTTATGAAAAATGATTTTATGTACCACGTTTCATTATATCATACATTTTTTTCTGATTGATTTCTGACTTTTATAGCATTTTAAATATTTTAAATGTTTTCTAAGTCTTTTCTACTTTTTCTCAGATTCACTAAACAATTCCATTTTAGTGTTTTTTTTTTTCCAGTATTTAATTCCACCAGAATTCCACCCCCATGGTCCAACCACCTCCCACCAGGCCCCACCTCCAACACTGGGGATTACAATTCAACCTGAGATTTGGGTGAGGACACACACAGAGCCAAACCTTATAATAATGCCCTGGCCTCTCCCAAATCTCATGTCCTTCTCACATTGCAAAATACAATCCTAACAGTCCCTCAAAGCTTTAACTCACTCATTGAAGGATTAATTCAAAAGTCCAAGTCCAAAATCTCATCTGAGATAAGGCTAATCCCTTCTGTCTGTGGGCCTGTAAAAAAGAAAAACAAACAAACAAAAAACAGTTAATTACTTCTAAGACACAATGTAGTTAAATAATTGGGAGAAATCAGCCAATAGAAAGGGGCTACAGGTCCTGTGTAAGTCTGAAACCCAGCAGGGAAGTCATTAAATCTTCTTAAAGCTCCAAAATGATCTCCTTCGATTTCATGTCCCACATCCAGGGTACACTGGCACAAGGAGTGGGCTCCCAAAGCCTTGGGCAGCTCCAATCCTGTCACTTTGCAGGGTTCAACCTTCAATGGGCTGGCATTGAGTTCCTATGCTTTTTCCAGGCCCAATTACAAGCTGTCAGTGGATCTACCCTTCTGGGGTCTAGAGGATGGTGGCCCTCTTCTCATAGCTCCACTAGGCAGTGCTCCAGTGTGGACTCAGCATGGGGGCTCCAACCCCACATTTCCCCTCTGCACTGCCCTAGTGAAGGTTCTCCATGAGGGCATCACCTCGGCAGCAGGCCTCTGCCTGGACATCCTTGCTTTTTCATACATCCTCTAAAATCTAGGCTGAGGCTCCCAAGTCTCAACTCTTTACTGTGTACCACAGGCTTAACACCAGGTGGAAGCCACCAAGGCTCATGGTTGGCACCCTCTGAACTAGTGGCTGAAGCTGTATCAGGGACACTTTGGGCTGAGGCTGGCGCTTGAGCACCCAGGATATGGGGAGCAGTGTTCCGAGGCTACACGGGGCAGTGGGGCCCTGGGTGTGCCCCATGAAAGCATTTTCCCCTCCAAGGCTTATTGCCCTGTGATGAGAGGAAGGGCTACTTGCAGAGGTCTCTGAAATGCCTCAGTGACTTCCCCATTGTCCTGGGTATTAACATTCAGCTCTTTGTTACTTATGCAGATTTCCGCAGCTGGCTCCAATGCCTCACAAGAAAATGAGTTTTTATTTTCTACCATGTGGCCAGGCTGCAAATTTTCAAAAGTTTTACACTCTGCTTTCCTTTTAAGTGCCAGTTTTACATCATTTTTTTTGTTGTTGTTGACATAATTGAACATAGGCTATTAGAAGGAACCAGGCCCCATCTTGAATGCCATGCTGCTTAGAAATTTCTTCTACCAGAAACCCTAAATCATCACTCTCAAGTTCAAAAGTTCCACTGATCCCTAGGGCAGGGGCACAATGCCACCAGTTTCTTGGCTAATCCATAACAAAGGTGACTTTTAATCCACTTCCCAACAAGTTCCTCATTTCCATCTGAGACCTCCTCAGCCTGGCCTTTAGTGTCCATATCACTATCAGCAATTTAATGACTGCCATTTAACAATTCTTTAGGAAATTTCAACTTTTCCTTCATCTTCCTGTCTCCCTCCGAGCCTTCCAAACTGTGTCAACTTTTGCCCGTTACCCAATTCAAAAGCTGTTGCCACATTTTTAGGTATCTTTATTTGGCTCATGGTTCTTTAGGCTGTACAGGAAGCATGGCTGGGAGGCCTCAGGAAACTTTCAACCATGGCAGATTCAAAAGAGGAGCTAACACCTCACATGGCTAGAACAGGAGGAAAACAGAGGTTGGGTAGTTGCTACACACTTTTTTTTTTTTTTTTTTTTTTTTTGAGACGGAGTCTCACTCTGTCGCCAGGCTGGAGTGCAGTGGTGCGATCTCGGCTCACTGCAACCTCCACCTCCCAGGCTCAAGTGGTTCTCCTGCCTCAGGCTCCTGAGTAGCTAGGACTACAGGCGCACACCACCACACCCAGCTAATATTTTTGTTATTTTTAGTAGAGAGGGGGTTTCAAGATGTTGGTCAGGATGGTCTCGATGTTCTGACCTCATGATCTGCCTGCCTTGGCCTCTCAAAGTGTTGGGATTACAGGCGTGAGCCACTGCACCCGGCTGTTACACAGTTTTTAACAAGCAGACCTCGTGAGAACTCACTATCATGAGAACAGCACCAAAGGGATGGTGCCAGACCATTCATGAGAATTTCACCCCCATGATCCAAACAACTCCCACAAGGAGCCACTTCAAACATTAGTCGATTACAAGCAAATGAGGAAATTTACCACAGAGATAGGAACTGTAAATTTCTTAGAAATTTACAATTAGAAAAAAGCAAAACAAACTATTTTGAGAGATAAATATTTCATTTGATGGGCTCACAATTATCTCTATAATAAACACAAAAATGACAAGATAATTTTTTTGGACAAAGGACATTTAGATTCTTCACCCCATTATAAATATAACAATGTTAACACATTTCCTCAGGCAGATAAAATACCAGGCAGAAACATGAATCACCACATAAAAATTCGAAACCCAGAAAATGGTAAAGATGAAGATATGGATGTGAAAGGGAAATATCTCAGTCCCAAAATCGCTAAGTTAAAGGGAAAATTCAAGCTGCCTCCCATTTTATTCAGAGTCATCCCTCTGCTCACAGAGATAAATGTTTATCTGATTGCCTTCTTTGGAAACCTTCATCAGTAAACTCAAAAGAATGCAACCATTTCTCTCTCATCTACCTGTGACCTGGAAGCCTCCTCCCTACTTTGAATTGTCCCACCTTTTTGGACCGGACCTAACCAACATTCATTTTACATATTTTGACTGATGTCTCATGTCTCCCTAAAATATTTAAAACCAAACTGTGCTCTGACCACCTTGGGCACACGCCCTCAGGACCTCCTGAGGCTGGGTAATGGGTGTGCATCCTCAACCTTGGAAAAATTAACTTCTGAAATTAACTGAGACCTGTCTCAAATGTTCAGGGTTCATAAACTAGTAAAATATTCTTTGAAGATAGATAGACTGTGATGAATTAAATATGAACACTGAAAACTCCAGAGCAACCGCTATTCTTTTAAAGTGACCAACTAATAAGCCAAGAGTGCAGAAAATATAACTGAATGATAAAAATACTAAATCTACCATCAGGCAGAAAAACAGGAAAATTAGGAATTACAAAAGGATGAAGTACAGAAAACAACTAGAAAGCCAGTAGATTTAAACGCATGTACATAAATAATTATAATAAATGATATAAATGCTTCAATTAAGAGAGACACTGTCAAATTATGTAAAAATAAGAAACAGCTGTACACTTTCTAAAACGAAACCATTTTAAATATGAAGACCTACGTGAAAGTTGGGTAAAAGGATGGAAAATATATTAATGCAAACAGTAAATATTAAAGCTAAAAAATCCTAGCACTATTAATTGTTAATCACACAGCGAGAGAGAGAGACTGAGCCCAAATAAATGTACTATAAAGAACCATGGAACTAAGAAAAATTAAATAGCATTTCTTGTCTTCCAGCCCATTATCTGTCTTGTCTGTCTCTCGTATTAATTTCTATGGGTTCTTCCCACTGCATAGCCTGAAGAAGAAATTAAATTTCTGCTCTCTCCAACCTGGTACTGTCTGACTCTTCTCTAGTAGTTTGGATCCAGGTGGTTGTATTCTGTGGTTTTTCCATTGGAATTAGGGTCTGTGCAGCACAGCTGGAGTTTTAGGACCATAGAGAGCTTTGGTGAGTGGTTGGCCCTGCCTACTTAACTGTAATTTTAAAAGTTTTTGGGGTTTTTTTGTTTGTTTGTTGTTTTTTTTTTGAGACAGGGTCTCACTCTGTAACCCGGGCTGGAGTATATTGGCACTATCTCCGCTCACTGCAACCTCTGCCTCCCAGGTTCAAGTGATCCTCCTGAGTAGCTGTGATTACAGGCGCGAGCCACCACACCCCGCTAAGTTTGTATTATTAGTAGAGATGGTGTTTGACCATGTTGGCCAGGGTGGTCTCAAACTCCTGGCCTTAAGTGATATGCACACCTGGACCACCCAAAGTACTGGGATTACAGGCATGAGCCACCATGCCCGGCCGACTCTGAAGATTTTTTTTTTTTTTTTTTAGATGGATTTTCACTTTTGTTGCCCAGGCTGGAGCACAACGGCACAACCTCGGCTCACTGCAACCTCTGTCTCCTGGGTTCAAATGATTCTCCTGCCTCAGCATCCAGATTAGCTGGGGTTACAGTCACCCACCACCACACCCGGCTGATTTTTTGTATTTGTAGTTGAGATGGAGTTTCACCACGTTGTCCAGGCTGGTCTCAAACTCCTGACCTCAGATGATCTACCAGCCTTGGCCTACCAAAGTGCTGGGATAACAGGCATGAGCCACTGTGCCTGGCCTGATTTTGAGGATTTTTAATGAGACAAGCAAATTAACGTGAAAACTAATGGGATAATTCAGACAAGGATTACTCGCCTTTGGGGAAGAGATGAAGTGAAAAGCTCTATTCTTGATCAGTCTAAAAATCTGCGTGTTAATTAGCCATTCGAGGTGGTGTGTGCCTTTAACCTAAGCTACTCGGGAGGCTGAGGCAGGAGAAGTGCTTGAACCCAGGAAGCGGAGGTTGCAGTGAGCTGAGATCACGCCAATGCATGCCAGACTGGGTGACAGAGCCAGACTTCATCTGAAAACAAAAACAAAACAAAAATCTGCATGTCAAAATCTCACTCGGGGCAGGATGAAAAGGGGAGTGCTGGGGGTTACAAGTTGCATTGTCCCTTGGCATAAATCTTGGTGGCCATGCGAAGGCATACACCTATAGGGACTTGAATAAAAACAGCATGAAAAGGGAGCATTTGGTCTGGGATGCCACATTCAGCCATTCAGCGTACAGTGCCTTTCACAGGGAGGTGTCATTTATGTGAACTAAAATATAAATTTCACCTTTCTGAGAAGGGTAATGTACAGCATGCACTGCATATGTGGTGTCCCTGAGGATGGGGGTGTAGCTGCGAGCATGGTGATGCCTGTTTTGCATCCTGTGCACCCACTCCTCAGTGCTGGGCTACACTTCAAGGAACTTTTTGTGCCTTCTAGACGACTGTACATAGGAATTGTGGACTCCTGAGAAAACGCATGCACTTAGGTTCCTTAAGAATTTATTTTTGCCAAATGAGGCTTGGCTCAAATAGGAAATACATTGGATAGAGGCCACAGCCATTCTTCGTCAGCTGGAATGCTTTACTCCAGATTCCTAAATTCTCTAAACTTTTTTCACTTATCAACTAGTCATCATTTGCAAGGATTCTCCTTTAGCGCTCCCAAAAGACTCTCCTGCCTCTCAGGTCCCTTCATTGCTGATCCACAGCGTCCATTTTCTGTCAAAGACTAAAACATTTTCTCATTGACTTTTAAAATACCTTTCAAAGCCTTAAGTCACCAATTTATGAAGGATTAAGCATAGTCCACCCAAGAATATTTCACTCTTTTTCATTATCTTTTTTCCCCGTTTTTTAAGAATATGTATGAACAATGGAAGGGTATGATGGAATTGATACTCAAGAGATATCTCCTAGTCTTCTCTCCCCATTTTCTTTGTGTGTGTGTGTGTGTGACAGAGTCTTGCTCTTTCGCCCAGGCTGGAGTGCAGCGGTGTGATCTGGGCTCACTGCAACCTCTATCTATCTCCCAGGTTCAAGGGATTCTCCTTCCTCAGCCTCCCGAGTAGTTGGGATTACAGGTGTGCCCCAACACACCTGGCTACTTTTTGTATTTTTAGTAGAGATGGGGTTTCACCATGTTGATGAGGCTGGTCTCGAACTGCTGACCTCCTGATCCACCCACCTAAGCCTCCCAAATGGCTGAGATCACAGGCGTGAGCCACCACGCCTGGTCCCATTTTCTTGTGTTGACACTTCTTAACTCTTAACCTAATGGAGAGAGATAGAGGGAAATACACACACACACAAACACACAAAAAAAGAGAGAGAGGGCAAAAGAGTAAGACAAGTGCCGGATGGTGTGAGGCCATCTGCAGCATGAAACTAGTATGCATTTTTGAGAAGTAGGTTATAAATAAGCTACTTATATTGCAGAAATGTGTTAAAAATGTTATAAATAGTAAGTTATTAATACAAATTTGATTCCAATGGAAATAGAGGTTATAGCATATACATCAAAAGGGAGAAAGTATAAAAAACAATTACTATATGGTTACAGGCAGGATTTTAGTTTGTTTTGTTACGTTCAGAATGGATGAATATGTTTAAGACCATTAATGTCTGGAAGTAAAAAAACAATCAGTTGAAGTATCTTTTTCAATATTAAAACAATTGCTCTAATAGATTACATAGCATCTTTTTCATTGGGGGCGGGGGAACATTCTGAACAGTAAAAAAATTCTGTCAGTTGGAAATGCTGTATGTACATAGAAATTTCCAAAGTGATAACACTTTTTAGTATATAATTTCTAAAACTGTATTATAGTGAATGCATGTGTACTTATATAATTTTAAGTCATATCCTAAAACGAAAGAAGAGAATTTAGTTAGTATCATATCTCTTTTATGATTTCTCAAAAGAGTACTCTATTCACTGTTATTTGTGGTTTTTCTTTCAGTGAAATACTTTTTTGTATCATTCATCCGTGTTTCTACCAATTTATTAAGGTTTAACTGACATAACTTTTGTATATATTTAAGGTGTACAACATGATGTTTGGATATATGTATATATTATACAATGATTAAATCCACCTAATTAAAACATAAAATAATATAAACATAACATATTTAGGTGAAACTCTAAATACAAATTATAGGATCTCTGTGGTATGCAGAATAACAGTCCCCCTCCAAAAGATGTTTACAGAGCAACCCCTGAACTCAAAAACATCACATTTTATGGTAGAAGGAAATTTGCAGATATGACTAAATATTTTGAGATTGGGATTATCCTAGATTATCTAGGTGAGTCCAACATAATCACAAGGGTTCTTATAAGTAGAAGGAAGGTGGTTAGAATAAGAGAAACATTGGAAAATGCTACAGTATTCAATAGAGGTGGAGGTAAAGTCCATGAGCCAAAGAATGATCTTCTAAAGACAATCAAGTAGATTCTCCTCTGGAGCCAACAGAAGGAACAAAGCCCTGCCAATGCCTTCATTTTAGCTGAGATAAACCTAATTTAGATTTCTGACCTTTAGACTCTAATATATTTGTGTTGTGTAAACAACTAAATTTGTGGCAGTTTGTTACAGTTATCAATTAAAAACCAAAAATATCTGTATGCTAAGAGTGCAAGTAAACACACTTAAAAAGTAAATAATTATTAAGTGGAGAGGAGTATCATATTTACGGATTGAAGGATTCAAATCTATAGATTTATAGAGTCTTATTGATCTATAGAGTTAATGCAATTCCAGCCAATGTCCCAGAAAAATATTTGTAGACATTAGCATGATGATTCCAAAGCTAATATAAAAGGTGAATAAACTAGAATATGCAAAACAATCTGAAAGAGAATCTCAAACTTGGAGAATCTACACTGGTAATTTCCAGATTTACTCTGTAACTAGTTTAGCCAATGTAGTGTGAGCCTCAAGAAAGGATGGATGAATAGAAATAGAAGGACCAGAATTACCCATACATGTCACCAATTCATTTTGACTAAATTGTAAAGTCAATCTAATGAAGAAATGATAGTATTTAAACAATATGATGCTGGGAAAATGTGATACACATATGAAAAACATGAACTTTGATCCATATTTCAAACCATATACAGAAATTAACACACTCTTAGGCCAAAATGTCAAGCTATAAAATTCTATGAAAAAAAAATGACAGAAAATATTTTTGACCATTAAATTATATATGATATCAAAATATAAACATAAAATTGATTAAAAATAAGTTGATAAAATAGACTTTGAAAAAATTAAAATTGGTCTTCAAAGAAGACCATTGAGATAATAAAAGTCAATCTATAGAAGACTAAAAATATATGTTATTTAATAATATGGTAAATAACATTTAATATATAATGTAATAACATATATCAGCATAAATACATATAATTTAGCACTCCTGTGTATACTAAGAATTTTACCAGTTTTAAAAAATTATCTGTGTTTTTCAATAAAATGTCAGTTCTGTTAGCATGTGTTGAGGATGTTTTGATCTGTATTGTAGTCCCTGCACATGAAAAAAATCGCATTTAATGCATTCATTCTGGACCTTCCTTGCTATACTGTAATCTGTCACATCGTTAATGTGAATATATCTGTTTATCCTCATAATTTATAATAAGTTAACATTTATTATGGTTAGTAGTCAGGAACATGGAAAGGCAAGAAGTGTAACTGAACAGGCTGAGTATATATAGATTTAGGGAGTCAAAAGAGGAAAAATAACTGCCAAAAACAAATTTTACACTTTTCCAAGTTATTCTTATCAGAATTCTGCCAAAGAAAAATACATTTTTGTTGATATCTTTTTTTTTCTGACCATGAGCATAATTCCTATTTATTGCAGAATAACTTGGAAAACACATAAAAGGTATGAAAAACTTGAATAGCAGTAATGAAATAATACCATAATACCAGTAACATCATAATGTGGATATAATACTTGATAAAATTTATAGGTGGATCTTTCCACATATTTATCTGTATTTATACTTAGGTTTTAGGTTGAGGTCAACAATTTTGTGCCATTCTCTTATAAATGATTTCAAATAATGCATCATGAATATTTTGTAAAAACATGCAGTAGCCTAGTAAATAATTTTGAAACATAATTTTACATGCCATGTTTCATTCTAGCATACAATTTTTTTTCTGATTTTTGACTTGCTTTTATAGCATTTTAAATATTTGAAATGTTTTCTAAGTGTTTTCTACTTTCTCTCAGATTTACTAACATATTCCACTTTAAATAGTCATTGTTTTCCACTATTTAATTCCACCCCCATGATCCAATCACCTCCCACCAGGCCTTACCTCCAACATTGGGGAACAATCCAACCTGACATTGGGGTGGGGACACAGATCCAAACCTTATAATTCTGCTCTGGCCCCTCCCAAATCTCATGTCCTTCTTACGTTGCAAAATACAATCCCAACAGTCCCCCAAGCATTAACCTAATTGAAGCATTAACCTAAAAGTCCACAATCCAAAGTCTCATCTGAGACAAGGCTAATCCCTTCTGCCCATCAGCATGTAAAATAAAAAAAAAAGTTAATTACTTCTAAAATACAATGGAGGCATAAGTTTTGGGTAAATACTTGGGAGAAATCAGCAATAGAAAGGGGCTACAGGTCCTGTGCAAGTCTGAAACTCAGCAGGGAAGTCATTAAATCTTAAAGCTCCAAAATGATTTCCTTCGATTTCATGTCCCACATCCAGGGCACACTGCTGCAAGGGTTGGGCTCCCAAAGCCTTGGGCAGCTCCAACCCTGTGACTTTACATGGTTTAGCCCCCAGTGGGCTGCCACTGAGTGCTTACGCGTTTTCCAGGCCTAACTACAAGCGGTCAGTGGATCTATGATTCTGGGGTCTGGAGGATGGTGGCACTCTTCTCAGAGCTCCACTAGGCAGTGCTCAGGGTGGACTCTGTGTGGGGGTGCCAATCACACATTTCCCCTCTGCACTGCCCTAGTAAAGGTTCTCCATGAAGACTCCACCCCTGCAGCAGGCTTCTGCCTGGACATCCATGCTTTTTTATACATCCTCTGAAATCTAGTCCGAGGCTCCGAGGCCTCAACACTTTCTCTGTGCACCCACAGGCTTAACACCAAGTGGAAGCTACCAAAGCTCATGGTTTGCACCCTCTGAACCAGTGGCTCAAGCTATATTGGGGTCCTTTGGGCCAAGGCTGGCACTGGGGCACCCAGGCTACCGGGAGCAGTGTCCAGACACTGCACAGGGCAGTGGGGCCCTGGGTGTGGTCCATGAAAGCATTCTCCCCTCCTAGTCTTCTCGGCCTGTGATGGGAGGAGGGATTACTGCAGAGGTCTCTGAGATGACTTTGAGGCCTCCCCATTCTCTTGGATATTAACATTCAGCTCCTTGTTGCTTAAGCAGATTTGCACAGCTGGCTTGAATTCCTCACCACAAAATGAGTTTTTATTTTCTACCATGTGGCCAGGCTACAAATTATCAAAACTTTCATACCCTGCTTTTCTTTTAAATATAAGGGCCAGTTTTACATAATTTTTTGTTGTTGACACACATGAGCATAGGCTATTAGAAGCCACCAAGCCCCATCTTGAATGTTATGATGCTTAGAAATTTCTTCTACTAAAAATCCGAAACCATCGCTCTCAATTTCAAAAGTTCCACAGATCCCTAGAGCAGGGGCAAAATGCCACCAGTTTTTTGCTAATCCATAACAAAGGTGACCTTTGCTCCACTTCCCCATAAGTTCCTCATTTCCATCTGAGACCTCCTCAACCTGTTCTTCAGTGTCCATATCACTATTAGCAATCTAGTGACAACCCATTAAACACTTATTTAGGAAATTTTAACTCTTCCTTCATCTTCCTGTCTTCCTTTGAGCCTTCCAAGCTGTTTCAACCTCTGCCTGTTACCCAATGCAAAAGCTGGTTGCACATTTTTAGGTAACTTTAAATGGCTCATGGTTCTGTAGGCTGTACAGGAAGCATAGCTAGGTGGCCTTAGGAAACTTTCAATCATCGAATAGGCAAGGGAGAATCTAGCTCCTCACATGGCCAATACAAGAGGAAGAGAGATGGGGGAGGTGCTACATTCTTTTTAACAACCACATCTCCTGAGAACTCACTATCATGAGAACAGCACCAAAGGGATGGTGCTAGACCATTCATGAATGTTCCACCCCCATGATCCAATCACTTCCCACTGGGGCCCACCTCCAACACTGAGGATTACAATTCAACTTGAGATTTAGGTGGGAACACAGATCCAAACAATATCACTATTGGAAAAAGGAGACATTACGGATGATCAAATGAGGAATTTTAGCACAGAGATAGGAACTGTAAGAAATGGTTGTGTTAGAAAACAGCAAACTATTTTGAGAGATGAATTTTTCTTTTAATGGGCTCACAATTATCTCTATAATAAACACAAAAATGACATAATTTTTTCAGACAAAGAACATTTAGATTATTCATCCCAGTAAAAATGCATTACAAGACATCATAACACATTTCCTCAGGCAGAGAAAATACCAAGCAGAAACATGAATCTGCACAAACAAAAATCCAGAAAATGGTAAAGATGAAGATAAGGATGTGACAAGGAAATATCTCAGGGCCCGAAAAACACTAAGCTAAAGGAAATATTCAAGCTGGGCACTGCTTAGGGCAAACCTGCCTCCCATTCTATTCATAGTCATCCCTCTGCTCAGAGATAAATGCGTGTCTGACTGCCTCCTTTGGAAAGGTGAATCAGTAACTCAAAAGAATGCAATCGTTTGTCTCTCACCTACCTGTGGCCTGGAAGCCTCCTCCCCACTTTGAGTTGTCCCACTTTTGCTTTGAGTTGTTCCTCCTTTCTGGAGCAGACTGAACAAATGTTTATCTTACATATGTTGACCGATGTATCATGTCTCCCCAAATGTATAAAACCATCCTGTGCTCTCACCACCTTGGACATAATGTCACCAGGACCTCCTGAGTCTGTGTCATGGATGCGCATCCTCAACCTTAGCAAAATTAACTTTTTAAATTACCTGAGACCTGTCTCAAATTTTGGGGCTTCACACAGAGGGCATTTTATTATTTTATTCATCAGTCAATAATAACAGTGTAAACAAATATGTGTGTGGGGATTAGAACATTAATAAATGTAATTAAAAATATGACAAAGGATGGGGTGAATTGTATGCATATTATAAGATTTTTAAACTGTACATAAACTAGTATAATACTCTTTTTTTTGGTAACGCACACACAAGACACTACAATCAATGAGTTTTTTTTGCTTTTTTCATTGCATTTTTTTATTATACTTTAAGTTCTAGGGTACATGTGCACAACGTGCAGGTTTGATACACAGGTATACATGTGCCATGTTGGTTTGCTGCACACATCAACTCATCATTTACATGAGGTATTTCTCCTAATGCTATCCTTCCCCCAGCCCCCCAACCCCTGACAGGCCCTGGTGTGTGATGTTCCCTGCCATGTGTCCAAGTGATCTCATTGTTCAATTCCCACCTATGAGTGAGAACATGCGGTGCTTGGTTTTCTGTCCTTGGGATAGTTTGCTGAGAATGATGGTTTCCAGCTTCATCTGTGTCCCTGCAAAAGACATGAACTCATCCTTTTTTAGGGCTGCACAGTATTCCATGGTGTATATGTGCCACATTTTCTTAATTCAGTCTATCATTGATGGACATTTGGGTTGGTTCCAATTCTTTGCTATTGTGAATAGTGCCACAATAAACATACATGTGCATGTATCTTTATAGTGGCATGATTTATAATCCTTTGGGTATATACCCAGTCATGGGATTGCTGGGTCAAATGGTATTTCTAGTTCTAGATCCTTGAGGATTCACCACACTGTCTTCCACAATCGTTGAACTAATTTACACTCCCACCAACAGTGTAAAAGCATTCCTATTTCTCCACAACCTCTCCAGCATCTGTTGTTTCCTGACTTTTTAATGATTGCCATTCTAACTGGCGTGGGATGGACTTTTTAATGATCACCATTCTCATTGGCCTGAGATGGTATCTCATTGTGTTTTTGATTTGCATTTCTCTGATGAACAGTGATGATGAGCATTTTTTCATGTGTCTGTTGGCTGCATAAATGTCTTCTTTTGAGAAGTGTCTGTTCATATCCTTTGCCCACTTTTTGGGGGGGTTGTTTTTTTCTTGTAAACTTGTTTCTTTGTAGATTCTGGATATTAGCCCTTTGTCAGATGAGTAGATTGCAGAAATTTTCTCCCACTCTGTAGGTTGCCTGTTCACTCTGATGGTAGTTTCTTTTGCCATGCAGAAACTCTTTAGTTTAATTAGATCCCGTTTGTCTATTGTGGCTTTTGTTGCCATTGCTTTTAGTGCTTTAGTCACAAAGTCCTTGCCCATGCCTATATCCTGAATGGTATTGCCTAGGTGTTCTTCTAGGGTTTTCATGGTTTTAGGTCTAAAACTTAAGTCTTTAATCCATCTTGAATTAATTTTTGTATAAGGTGTAAGGAAGGGATCCAGTTTCAGCTTTCTATATATGGCTAGCCAGTTTTCCCAGCACCATTATTAAATACGGAATACTTTCCCCATTTCTGGTTTTTGTCAGGTTTGTCAAAGATCAGATGGTTTTAGGTGTGTGGCGTTATTTCTGAGGCCTCTGCTCTGTTCCATTGGTCTATATCTCTGTTTTGGTACCAGTACCATGCTGTTTTGGTTACTGTAGCCTTGTAGTATAGTTTGAAGTCAGGTAGCATGATGCCTCCAGCTTTGTTCTTTTGGCTTAGGATTGTCTTGGCAATGTGGGCTCTTTTTTGGTTCCATATGAACTTTAAAGTAGTTTTTCCCAATTCTGTGAAGAAAGTCATTGGTAGCTTGATGGGGATGACATTGAATCTATAAATTACCTTGGGCAGTATGGCCATTTTCATGATATTGATTCTTCCTATCCATGAGCATGGAATATTCTTCCATTTGTTTGTGTCCTCTTTTATTTCATTGAGCAGTGGTTTGTAGTCCTACTTGAAGAGGTCCTTCACATCCCTTGTAAGTTGGATTCCTAGGTATTTTATTCCCTTTGTAGCAATTGTGAATGGGAGTTCACTCATGATTCGGCTCTCTGTTTGTCTTTTATTGGTGTATAGGAATGGTTGTGATTTTGGCACATTGATTCTGTATCCTGAGACTTTGCTGAAGCTGCTTATCAGCTTAAAGAGATTTAGGGTTGAGACGATGGGGTTTTCTAAATATACAATCATGTCATCTGCAAACAGGGACAATTTGACTTCCTCATTTCCTCATTGAATACCCTTTATTTCTTTCTCTTATCTGAATGCCCTGACCAGAACTTCCAACACTATGTTGAATAGGAGTGGTGAGAGTGGGCATCCTTGTCTTGTGCCAGTTTTCAAAGGGAATGCTTCCAGTTTTTGCCCATTCAGTATGATATTGGCTGTGGGTCTGTCATAAATAGCTCTTATTATTTTGAGATATGTTCCATCAATACCTAGTTTATTGAGTGTTTTTTAGCATGGAGGGCTGTTAAATTTTATTGAAGGCCTTTTCTGCATCTATTCAGATAATCATAGGGTTTTTGTCCTTGGTTCTGTTTATGTGGTTATTACATTTATTGATTTGCGTATGTTGAACAAGCCTTGCATCCCAGGGATGAAGCTGACTTGATTTTGGTGGATAAGCTTTCTGATGTGCTGACAGATTTAGTTTACCAGTATTTTATTGAGGATTTTTGCATTGATGTTCATCAGGGATATTGGTCTAAAATTCTCTTTTTGTGTGTGTCTCTGCCAGGCTTTGATATCAGGATGATACTGGCCTCATAAAATGAGTTGCGGAGGATTCCCTCCTTTTCTATTGATTGGAATACTTTCAGAAGGAATGATACCAGCTCCTATTTGTACCTCTGGTAGAATTCGGCTGTGAATCCATCTGGTCCTGGACTCTTTTTGGTCGTTAGGTTATTAATTATTGCCTCAATTTCAGAGCCTGTTAGTTATTGGTCTATTCAGAGGTTGAACTTCTTCCTGGTTTAGTCTTGGGAGTATGTGTCCAGGAGTTTATCCATTTCTTCTAGATTTTCTAGTTTATTTGTATACCTGTGTTTATAGTATTCTCTGATGGTGGTTTGTATTTCTGTGGGATCAGTGGTGATATCCCCTTTATCATTTTTTATTGTGTCTATTTGATTCTTCTCTTTTTTCTTCTTTATTAGTCTTGCTAGTGGTCTATCAACTTTGCTGATCTTTTCAAAAAAGCAGCTCCTGGATTCATTGATTTTTTGAAGGGGTTTTTGTGTCTCTATCTCTTTTAGTTCTGCTCTGATCTTAGTTATTTCTTGCCTTCTGCTAGCTTTTGAATGTGTTTGCTCTTGCTTCTCTAGTTCTTTTATGACGTTTGTTAGGGTGTCGATTTTAGATCTTTCCTGCTTTCTCTTATGGTCTTTTAGTGCTATAAATTTCCCTCTCCACACTGGTTTAAATGTGTCCCAGAGATTCTGGTACATTGTGTTTTGTTCTCATTGGTTTCAAAGAACATCTTTATTTCTGCCTTCATTTTGTTATTTACCCAGTAGTCATTCAGGAGCAAGTTGTTCAGTTTCCATGTACTTGTGCGGTTTTGAGTGAGTTTCTTAATCCTAAGTTCTAATTTGATTGCACTGTGTTCTGAGAGACAGTTTGTTGTGATTTCTGTTCTTTTACATTTGCTGAGGAGTGCTTTACTTCCAACTATGTGGTCAATTTTAGAATAAGTGCAATGTGGTGCTGAGAAAAATGTATATTCTGTTGATTTGGGGTGGAGAGTTTTGTAGATGTCTATTAGGTCTCCTTGTTGCAGAGCTGAGTTCAAGTCCTGGATATCCTTGTTAACTTTCTGTCTCC